>NC_000013.11:77044469-77195984 GCF_000001405.40 Homo sapiens
TATATTTATGATCTTCTGCTTAGGGTTTAAGATTCCAACATTGCACTTCATTACTATTCTTATTTTCTCTAACAGTTTTGAAAATTATGAATGTGTTGTGTTAGTAAATTTCTTTCTGAGGAAAACTGGACTTTTAGACCTTAAAGGTGTTCAAATTTTGTTTTTTAAACAATACCTCCCACAGTGGTAGACTTTATCACTGTATAAAAATGTACAGTGGTTTTATTGACATGTACATTCCAATATGTTTACAGCTGCAAGATAATGAGGCACACTCAGTATTGCACTTCATTAAAATTTCAGGCTCAAACTTAACCTAGAAGTTTAAATGAAATTGCATTTGTAATTTAGTAATTCTTATACAGGACAAACATTGATATGTTTATATACAGTGTGATACTTATTACATTTATATGCTGTCCTAACACAATGTTTTTTTTTTTTTTAAATAACAGTCTAGGAAATAAACCAGAATATTCCTCTTTTTATCCCCACCCGTGATGCAATTGTACAGGATTACAAAAAGGCAGTATACAATAAACAATGATTATTTTTCTTTTTTGCTTGAAAGCCAGCATCGTTCTTAGTCCATGGGCATGGCGATTCTTTTATATCAATTATCTATAAATGTCCAATGCTTCACAGGCCAATGACGGTAATGGCCACATGCAAACACCTCACAAGTTTGATGTCATTTGTTCAAAAGAAGATAAACCAAAATAATGGGGAAACTTTTCATAGCAAGAATTATGTACATGGTATTTGGTATCCTTCTTGCACTGTGAATGGTTCATTTTCATGGATGTAAAAATGGTCCCGTCCTTATCCTGAGCAGAGTTTAAACTTCACCGCATCCTCTTGGGGGATGAAGGCAATTTTTCTCTCTGTAGACAAAGGATCTGCGTGTTCTAAAAAGTGTGGGCATTTCTGCACACTCCACATCCCAGAGCAAACTCTTCCCCAGTGGGTGGATGAACAACATGGAGTGGACATTCAGTTCCTTCTAACTGCTTGCCTTTGGGACCTGTATAAATTTGAAGGAGGCAAAGGAAAATAATGTTTTAAGAATACACACATATAAACCTCACAGAAATATAAATCACTGATAGGTTATTCAAAGAAATAACATGACTATGGTTATACAAATATAACATTTAGAAATTTTTCTTCTGATCACAAAAGTAAAAAATGTTCACTATAAAAAATTCAACACAGATATGTACAATGGAAGAAGTGATGGGGTCCCTTACTCACTATATCCTGCCTAGAGAGGATCACTTCGAGCTACAGATCTTTTTCTATTAATAAATGCATCAGATATATCATTTTAAAACAGAGTAATGAACAAAAAAGGTCACAAAACCCCTCAATTTAGTCTGGCAGAACATTATTTTTCTGAATAGAAAACAGGGAGATTTTTGTGTAGAATGTTTTTCTATAAGTAAAAACATTTAAGTTTAAAGAAGCCATGTTTTCCCTTTTATTTTTACTGATGAAAAAGCCCACACTGGTAAAATGGGAAGGCCAATGATTCCTGTAATTTTTAAAAGTACCTGAAGGATATTAGCAGGAAAATGAAAGTTATCAGGTTAAAAACATGAACAATGTTATAAAATACAATGTGGAAAAAACACTTTGGGGAAGATATGAATTTGTTGATAATAATCAAAGTAGGCCTATCAAATGTACCAAAAACAGTATTTTAAAAAAGAAAATTATTATATTAATGTGCTTCACGTCATGGGTTTCATATCATTTAGAAAAGATTTTTAGTTCCTTTAGAAACCAGGAGGCTTACTTTGTCAGAAAAACACGCTAGGCTTATACTTGAAAGCAGAGTCCCTATTTAATAGTAGATGAAGGAATAGGAACTCTGCATTAGTTTTCTACAGCTAGTTTTCAAAATAATAAATCTAAATTCTGATTGTGCTTGAGAGAAAAATATCACGAGATTGGATGGAATGAGCTTACACTGATCAATGAGGAATGACGTCTCATTTACTTTACCTTTTCTAGGTTTAAAAACATTTCTGACATAAGAGAAGGAAACCATGATGGATAAAAGGCTAGCATTTATAAAGCTCTTAGACTGCACAGTATAATACCCAATAAATGTTGGCTATTACTACTATTACTGAACAACCACAAACTGAGGCCTGATCTAGAGGAATAAAAAGTAAGTTCTGTACAAGAGTAAGACCAAGACATTAGAGTGTCAAACTGAAGACAGCTAATCTCAGAGAAGTCAACTTCAGGTTAGAGCTAACAGGCATGAGAGTGGCAATGAGTGCCACCTCAGACAAATGCAGGCACAGACCTCAGGATGGGTCAGCATGGGAGGATGCCAGAGGTTTGCTAGAAAGTTAATTATTCCTGTTAGAAAGTAGTTCAGTAGCTCCTGCTCCAAATCACACTGCAGATTGGTGCCCACCCCACCAGTGGGTGGGGGAGAGTGCGCAGGATGGGGACACTCAATGGCAGATCTAGTTCAGATACACAACATATCAATGGTGGTGACACAAACTGCAGCCCTTGGGTTTTTTCAAGGAAAAAATGAGTCATTTACTCAACAAATATTTACCGCATGCCTAATATATGAAGGGCATTCTTAGGTACTTGGGATTAAAGATGAAAAGTGCATGGCTCCCATCTTCAAGGTGTTCACAATCCAACATGGTGGTGAGAAATAAAAATAGTGAAAACACACCTGCAAACATCTGAGTGCTTACTACTGAGGCACTGTTCTAGTATATCAGCTACTTAACCATTTAACAGTCATAGGAGGCAGAAACGATTATCCTCATTTTGTAGATATGAAACTGAAGTAAAATTATTTTTTCTGATTCTTAGATACCTCATCTTTAAAATAGACACAGCAATACCTAACTCATGGGGTGCTGTGAAGATTAAGTATCCTGGCACGAGAAGGTAGTCAATAAATATTTTAGAAAGAAATGGATAGAGGGATTATGCTATGGTCTGGATGTTTTTGTGCTCCTCCAAATTTATATACTGACGTGTTAATGAAAGGAGTTAGTTTGCCTTAGGTAGATAGCAAGGGAAGGGTCCCCAGAGAGCCCCAGGTCCACAGGTCAGTGCCTCATCCCCATATAACATAAAAAGCAGTTGGGGAAAAAAAGTCAAGCTGCAGGCACCGATGAGGGAACTAGCACAGGGCATTGTGCCTAAAGACATGCCCACGGCTGCACAGACAGAAAAACCTTCAATCAGATAAAGGACAAGACCTGGGATAGAAATGCCTTTGTCCTTTGTATAGTCAGGGGGCTCTCTCCTTTTGTGGGCATAGGCACAGTGGGCTCCAGTGGGTTCCTGGGCCAGGGTCCCGGGCCAAGCTGAGTCACGCTGCGGGCCAAGACAGCCCACAGACTAAGCACATTCCTTCCCCTTTCCAGTCCATAAAAACCCTGGGCCCCAGCCTCACGGGAGCATCCTGTTTGGGCCCCCCTCTCTGCTGGCAGAGAGCTTTCTTCTTTTGCTTATTAAACTTTCGCTCTAACCTCACCTTTGTATCTGTGCTCCTTAATCTTCTTGGAGGTAGGACAAAGAACTCCTGGCATTATCTCAGACAATGAGAGACTGTTATATCTTGGTGCACTGCTGAGACTACAACATTAACACCAATGTTATGGTGTTAGGAGGTGGAGCTGTGGGAGGTGATGAGGTCATGGGGTGGAATCCATGAATGGGATTAGTGCTCTTCCTATCAATGAGACCCAGGAGAGGCCCCCTGCCCTTCCACGACAGCAAGAAAGTGCCACCTATGAGGCTGAGAGTGGGTCCTCACCAGACACCTCGACTGCTAATTCCTAGATCTTAGACTTCCTGGTCTCCAGAACTGTGAGAATAAATTTCCACTGTTTATAAGCTACCCAGTTTACAGTATTTTGTTATAGCAGCTTGAATGGATGAAGACTGATTATCTAAAAATATTAGAATTAACAGGGTTGAGAGTGGTTAGAGAATTGCTTCTTCTGTCCTTCTAAGTAAACTGTATATGGCCATCTTCCCTACTCACATCCCTGTGGGATCTCCTTTATTCTATTCCAGTTCTCTAAATGAATGGATGAGTTAGAGGGATGTGTGAGGCTGGGAGAGTATACCTCAATCTCAGTGTATGTTCTTAGGCCAGTTCATTAACCTCCCTAGCCCTCAATTTTCCATTTGATAACATAGGGATAATACCATCTACTCGCAGATTGTAAAAATGGAGCAAATATGTGTGAAAATGCCCAGGACCGAGGTCATTCCTTCCTTCTGCCAACTCTGGCTCCTCCCCCGCCTCCCTCCTGTGATTCCTTTGTGTTGGCTGCCCTGATCCTGTGAGGAAACCTGACCCTCCTCTCTCAGCTACTACCCACCACTGAGTTCTCTAAAGTGTTTCATTGTTAACTTCCTTATTTTTAGCATTCTTATTTCTGTTTTTTAACATAGAGGAAACTTTAAGTAAAATCTAGATTTCCCCTGAAGATACTGCTTGCCTTAAATCTTTCTCAACTGGAGGCTGGTTATCTCCCAAGCTCCTCCAGGTCATATGGCTACAACGTGTGACTGATTTTTCTCTTGGCTCCTATTTCTTTCCAGACCACAACCTACAACTTTCATTCAATAATTGCCCTTCCTCCAAGCTCAAGTCATCTAGAGTCATCTAGAATACTGCCCTTTCCACACTCCCTTCACTTGCTGACCTCCAGCACATCACCCCCTCCCTCCAAGCATGGCTCACATCTCTGTTCTGTCCATTATCCTCCATAACCTGGCTTCACATCATTCTGGCCTTGCTTCTTTCAAAGCCTGCTACTTCTATTAAAAAAAAACAGTATTTGAGGAGAAACAGTAAAACAATTTTTATTTGACATGAGCAAATGGTAAAAAGTAGTCATACTTGAAAAAACCCTACTTATCTTTATTTTGAAATGGATAGTATATGTTTCACATGGTTTAAAATCAAAATGTTAAAAATGATAACACAATTGGAAGCAACTTTCCCTAGTCTCTACCCTCATCTTTTTCTTGCTTTTCCCAATAGTTAATCAATAGTATTAGTTTCTTGAGTATCTTTCCAGGGGTTTCTTTATGTAAATATAAACAAATATGACTAGATAGTCTCATTTTCCCTCTTACAAAAGGCAGCATACTGCATACTCTGTTCTGCAATTTGCTTTTTTTTTTTGAAACAGCTCTGTCGCCCAGGCTGGAGTGCAGTGGCGCAATCTTGGCTCACTGCAACCTCCGCCTCTCAGGCTCAAGTGATTCTCTGGCCTCAGCCTCGTGAGTAGCTCGGATTACAGGTACCCGCCACCATGCCTGGCTAATTTTTGTACATTTAGTAGAGATGGGGTTTCACCATGTTGGCCAGGCTGGTCTCGTACTCCTGACCTCAAGTGATCCACCTGCTTCGGTCTCCCATAGTGCTGGGATTACAGGTGTCAGTCACACCACTTGGCCTAATTTACTTTTTTCATCTGATGCTATCTCCTGAAGATCTTTCCAAATCAGCACACAGAAACACCATCCTCACTCTTTTTTTTTTTTAAACTGATGCGTAATATTAGCCACTACCCTACTGGACACTAGCATTGTTTATACATTTTTATTATCATAGCAAAGCTGTAGTTAATAACCTTGTTTATTTGCCCTTTTTTACTGTCCTCACATTTGTAGCTATATCCCTGAAGAGGGAGTGCTGAAGGGTTGATACGCTGGTAATTTTGAGAGGCACTATTAAGCTGTTTTCCGGAGAGGTCTATCACTTGCACTCTGATAGGCAGCAGATGGCAGTGTGTGTTTTCTAGCTTTGACAACACGGTATATTGTGTTGTATGTACTTGTGCATGTATTTTCACTAATTTCAGATATATCTTATGTAAAATTCTCTCCTATGGTTGCACGGACCTCTCCTTCCACTTCTCTCACTTCCGTGAAGCCTGGTATTCCACCTCACCGTTGCCACTAGCCTCCTGTCCTCTTCCAGTATTTTCAGCTTCTTTTTGGTTTCATACTTCTTTCCCCTCAGCCTGCTTTCCATAGACAATAATTTCTCCTGTATTCTGAGTGGTTTCTTTAATTCCCTTGACTTTCTGATGCTCACTACACTACTGATTCCCAGCCATTCTAGATTAAATCACTTGGTTCATTTTATGGCAACGGTTCCAGGCTTCGTTAAAAAAAAAAAAAAATCACAGAATCCTTTTAAATGGTTCTGTAATATTGAACTTCATATGACTTTTTAGTGCTGAACAGCCATCTTTTCACCAATCCTTAGTAGACTTCATTCTCACTCCCCATGAGATCTGCTCCGTCACAGCTAACTTCTCACTCATGATGATGAGCCTGCTTCCTAATTCACCCAGAAAGTCATAAGCTTACAAGGATCAAGGAATTCCTCCTGCTTCTTTAGGCTAGTTTGAATTGAGTTTCTGTCACTTGAAACAGAGCTTTCATATAATGTTTACATAAAACTATGGTATATAGATCATAATCGTGATTTTAAAATATTAAAAGCATACCTGCAGGACAGTGTGGTAGTTCTTCCTTAGGAATGCTAGTCATTCTTTGAAAATCATCATGACAAGCATTACAAAAATGTGTTGTTCCAAAACAGAAAAAAACAGCCACTGAACAGCAGTAGCGACATTTATATTCCAAAAAGTCTGTGCCATGTTTGGGACACATCTATAGCAAAAGAGAAGAGACAGACACAAGATCATAGTGAGACTATTTCAATCACACTTAAGATAGGCATATACATAGACAGCTCCTTAATTCATATTTTGAGGGCCTACATAACTCTAAAAATTGATTGAAAAACTGATGATACACATGTTTGAAAACTAACAAATAAATATGTGGCCTGTCCAAAAGGTCTGGACAAAGATCCAAGTTCTAATTCCATTTCCATCATAATCTATCTGATTTAATAAGCAAGGTACTTAATTTCTTTATGAATGTTTTATGGCTGGTCAAACTGAAAATTAATGAAATTAACCTCTCTTATAATCTCACAGATGTACTGTGAACATTTCACTGAAGAGGGGAAAACCTAAAAGTTTCACTGCACGTTTAAGAAACTAAGAAAATAAGAAAATTTATTACATTGTTTAACTATGGTGATCATTTCATGGAAGACAAAATTATAAAATAAAAATATCGCCCAAAGGAAATAATATATATGAAATAATGTGAAAAATTATACAACACTGAACAAATATCAGAAAATACTGAGGAGAAAAGCCTGATTTACATTCCCACCATATTATTGTTTAAAAAATAATACTATTTAACATTTCTAAACTGTTGTTTCTAATAAAATGTTCTGCCTACCTGAGCCCTGGAAACATCAGAACAGGCACCACAAATGAGCTCTCTGGGATCATAATCATCTCCCCGTCCAGCCTCAGCATCGCAGCGAGCTTCACCACCAAAATATGCCTGTGGAGAAAACACATCTAGATTACAGCAGGAAAAAAGAAAACTCTGGCATGGGAGATACAGTATGGGCATAGTGAAAGTAAGATCTAGGGGTTTTAGAAAATACCATTATCTACTAGACCATCCCTTGAAATGCCAAGTGCATGCCCATATTGCTTGCTGACTGTATGTAGGGTGGATCAGGGTAAGAAATAAAGCTATTTCTTCTTTTTCTTTCTTCCCCTCCTACCTTCCTTCCCTCCTTCCCTTCCTTCCCTTCTCTTCTCTTCTCCTCTTCCACCTCTCTCTCTGTTTCTTTGAGACGGGCTCTCACTCTGTTGCCCAGGCTGGAGCATAGTGGCGCAATCATGGCTCCCGACAGCCTCAACCTCTTGGGCTCAGGCGATCCGCCCAACTCAGCCTCCTGAGTGGCTAGGATCATAGGTGCACGCCACCACACCCGGCTAATTGTTTAATTATTTGTAGAGACAGAGTCTCCCTATGCTGCCCAGGCTGGTCTCAAACTCCTGGGCTCAGGTGATCCTCTTGCCTTGGCCTCCCAAAGTGCTGGGATTATTGGCATGAGCCACATGCCTGGCCTAAAGCTATTTCGACTCTCAAATGGATTCAAGCTTAAAGTAGGCAGTTACATTGTCCTGTCAAAACAAAAAAGTATAATATTCCAAGTAAATATCAACAGAATATTAAGTAGTAAAAGCTATGCTTTTTTCAGGGTAAAGTTTGAGAAATTTTTCTCATTTTGAAATATTAAAATACATATCCCCTTCTACTGTTTTAATAAATATGCTTAGCAGTTCCCAATTTATAATACTGTAGAACAAAATATACATAAAGTAATTAGTATAGAATTATAATTCCAAGGCTAATGGGAAAGAAAAAAGTAATTTTAAGCATCCTCTGATCACACATTTTTTAAGAAGAAAAGGCCGGCTGGGCATGGTGGCTCACACCTGTAATCCCAGCACTTTGGGAGGGTGAGGCAGACAGATTCCTTGAGCTCAGGAGTTCAAGACCAGCCTGGGCAACATGGCAAAACCCATCTCTATCAAAAATACAAACAAACACAGAAATTAGCCAGGCGTGGTGGTGAGGACCTGTGGTCCCAGCTACTGAGAAGGCTGAGGTGGGAGGCTTGTTTGAGCCCAGGAGGTGGAGGCTGCAGTAAGCTGAGATCATGCCACTGCACTCCAGCCTGGGTGATATGGTGAGACCCCGTCTCAAAAAAAAAAAAAAGGCAAATTTGATAATTCTGTTCAGAATTCTGCTCATAGTTATAAAGTTATGCAGTAGGCAGGAACTCAACAGTTTCCAATACAGACACTTGCATAAATAGAATTTGAATAAATAAAATTATCATGAATAAATAAAAATATCATGATGGGTGATTTATCTGTATTTGCCCTGGGCAGAGATTAAGTGAGGCCAAGGAACTGGGACAATTTGCATGCACTGATTGTCTCATAGTCAAAAAGCTATGTCCGGATTGGGAATAAACAAACTGAGTCAATATAAATCTATTATCTATACTAGAAAAACAGGTCCAAAGACAGGATCCATTGATGCAGAGGTTATAAACGGTCGTTCACCAGCTAAACCTAACCCTGGAAGTATTTCGGTTTGTCTTGGGGACTGCTTACTCCAGCTGTTTCACTTTTCTATATCCTCTGCTTGGCTTCCTAAGCATTTGACTGCTACCCTGTAATAGCACAATATTCATTTATAATGTTTAGTACATGAAACACACAGAAATACTATTTTATTATTTGTAACAATACAAGCTTCATAAATGTGCACTATTGGGTGTGCATGTATTTATCTGCCTTTCTGGCTATCATCTCTCTACTTAGACATCCATTCATCCTCTGTATTTTCTTTTTGCTACATTGGGAGACTATGCACCTTTCTCATGTAGTCATTCTTTCACTCATTTATTCATTCTCCACTTAACTTTGTATCTAGTAAGTGCAAAGTACTAGAGATAGAAAAATGAAAAAACATACTCTTTGTCCTCATGGAACTTATCAAGTAGGGCAGAGAGATAAGTGGTCCAGTAGTCATAATGCAGAATAGGGAGTTCTATGCTAGATGCCTGCAAGATACCAAAATCATGTGGTGGTGGTGTTGATGGAAGTGAGATGGGGGTATGTTACAGAGGAGGTGAAACCTGAGCTGAAGCCCGAGGTATGACAAGACAGATTAGGCTCTGCATGACAGCATGTGTGTATGGGGTTGGGGGTGGCAGGTCAGAGTAAAATATGCAGGGGGAGGTAGAGAAGAGCATCCTTTAAACACCAATGGCCTGTGCAATGGCATGGGGGTGTCAGTGGGTGAGCAGACAGGGCTGAGTTTGGGAAATGCAAGTTATTTGGTATGTGGCAGCAAATGGAGAGCAAATGGTAGCATCTTGGGAGATGAGACTGGAGAGGGAGACTGGGCTACCGTATTATAAGTAGAAGAGTGATCCAGTTAGATTTTAGATCTAGAAGTATTAATTAGCAGCAGTGTAAGGGATGCAACAGAGGAATTAGGGGTTCTACACCCGAGCTCAGGAAGAAGGCTACTGTAATTACCAAGGAAAATGATTAGGTTTGCTGGAGATGTAATGGAAAGAAAAAAGGACTCAAGAGAGATCTGGAGACAGAATTGATAGGATTTTGTCAATAAAGATCAGAGATTGGTAAAGTCTTTTTTTTTTTTTTTGAGACAGGGTCTCACTATGTCACCCAGGCTGGACTGCAGTGGCACAAACACAGCTCATTGCAGCCTCAACCCCCTGGACTCAAGCGATTCCCCTGCCTCAGTCCCCCAAGTAGCTGGGACTACAGGCAGATGCCAACCTACCTGTCTAATTTTTGTATTTCTTGTAGAGATGGGGTTTTGCCATCTTGCCCTGGGTGGTCTCAAACTCCAGAGCTCAAGAAATCTGCCCACCTTGGCCTCCCAAAGTGCTGGGATTACAGGTGTGAGCCACTGTGCCCGGCCAAGATTGATGAATATAATACCTGACATGTGAACTCTGAAGTATGTGTGAGAGATCCAAATGTCTGGTACGCAGTTGGTTATTTGTAACTAAATCTCAAAAATTTTGGGGGGTCATAAACATATACATGGTAGGTGAAGGTATAGATGTAAAAGAGGTCACCCAAGGTAAGGAAGTATTTATTAAGTAGGCAAGAATGGAGCTCTAGGAAAACAAATATGTAAGGGGTAGGTTAAAAAAAAAAAAAGAAGAAGTAGTTAAAGATAAATGACTAGAAAGGAAGGAGGACAGAAAAAGAGTGTGTTGTCCTGGAAGCCAAGGAATTAAGGGTTTTAAGGAAGGAATGGTTAGCAGAGTCAAGTGAGAGAAGTTTATTCGAGAAGGAATTGCCCTGGGCCAACAGGTTATTACTGATGGGAAGCAGCTTGTATACAGAAATACTGCATGTTTCGAAAAGTTTGTTCAGGTTAAATAAAGAATCCCCAAACAAGTTAAGTAAACAAGTTTTACTGGAAACATTGGGAAACATTGTACCAAGCTATCTTATTTTTAACTTCAGGCTTAAGATGGAATAATTAGATATCACTGTACAATTTGAATTCTTAATCATATAGGTAAGCTCTAGTTTTTAAAACTTCTCAGTATAATTTATAGCATACCTTTCTGCATTTGTAGCACACATAATATGCATATCTATTCATTGCATAGCCAGCTGGGTCATTATAAAACCTCACACCAGGAGTTGTGATAGCTTCACTCTTATGCAGACCTTCATATTCCAATCTCATTAAGGCTTTTCTTCTGACATCCTCATAGAGTTCTTTTATTGGATCAAGTAGGTCTTTTAGTACTATGTGATTAATTTTGTTCTGCAATAAAAAATGAACACTCTTTAGCAGAATCATTTATTAACCAACTCAACAAACACTTAGCATGCACCTAAGTGCCAAGCATTGTGCTAGAAGATAACCAGACAGCACACATATTCTAAATAAAATGTCATTTGAAAAACATTCTGTAAATTCTTTAGAAGCCCATATTTTTCCAAGAGCAGGGAAAATGGGGCAAATGGGACACAGAGCATGAAAATTCCATTTTATTAGCTTTATATTTCCTGCGTCTGAAATATATCTCCTGTTGCCCTAGCTATTGTGGAAACAAAGTTACCTTGTTGCCACAAATAAGACACGCTCTGTGTTTGGTGTGTGTGTGTGTGTGTGTGTGTGTGTGTGTGTGTGTGTGTGTGTGTGTGTGTGTGTGTTTTGCTTCCTTGAGGGGAAGGCAGAACGCCAGGTGACAGAAGTGAACAGGTAGTATTTGCTGTAAAACTTTCATGTATCTATTAATATTTGTAGCACCATATGATAGGGGAGAGCAAAATACTACAATCTTTTTGATTATTCCTCAGTCTATCTAGACAATGATTGTGCTAAGTCTTTCCACATTCTACCCTTTATATTAGTTTGCAAATACGAAGATAAGAAAATAGGGAGAGCTTAATAGAACAAAAAGGGGCGATGAATTAATAGGGAAAGTACTGCCACATTCTTCAAAAACAGCTTTTTGTTAATCATTATTAGCTTGCCAAAACAACTTCCTACTTGCTGACTACCTTTGTACAAATGTGTCAAAATGCCAAGAACTTTCTCCTTGTTTTAACTAAGCTCTAAAAGAATCTGTTCTAGTGGTACTGAGGGTTCCAATTTCACTCTTTAATGGCAGGTATCAGTTTCTACAAACACCAGAGGATCATTCTTCTTTTTGGTAGCCGTTGTCATGTTATGTCAACTGAGCTCTCTAGTGGTCTGAGAGTAGAGATGCATGCCCTTTAATGCATCACGATGTTTAAATGAACTTTCTCATGTAATATGTTTAACAGAATGTAATCAGTTTTAAATGGACAATTACTGTTTTGAGATGCATTATAACAGAGAGATTATATTCTCAGGTTCCACATGAATGAGAAGGGAAGAAACTGCTAGGGGCTGGTGGGTAAAACCAAGAGATACTGACATATGTTTATTTTGAAAGGTGAAAAGAAAGAACAAAAGAAAAAGAAAGTACATGATTTCAGATTCTTTCCATACCTTGCAAATGGGACAAGATATAAATCCAAATGTTATCCTTGGGCCAAGCCATCGATTTTCTAATACTCGCCGACAGCACTGTAAGTGGAATATGTGACTACAATCCAGCTTAAATAAACAAAAGAAAAGGACATAAGCAAATATAATAATGATAAACAGTTGAGTGACTGGGAGATTATTTAATGCAAGGCACTACTTAAAGCAGGTAAGAGAAAAATCAAGAAATTTACTATAATGAAAATTCATTGGGACACTGAAATTGGGACATTATTATTTACTAAATTTCATTACAGTAAATTGGGATACTATTAACTAGGCCTTTGGCTTCTCCTGCTTTTTAACATTCATGCCACTTATATAAAGTAAGCTAGGTTAGGAAAAAAAGTAAAATTATTCAATTTTGTATCTCACAGAAAGAAGAAGAAATTACTGACTTATGATTTTCTTTTGGAGACTATTATTATCTTGGAATCATGAGAACTGAAAATATAAGCAATGGGCAAAAGTTAAAAAAACCTATTTAGTGCACAGTAACTTGTGTATGTATAGAAGTATGTATCATTATGTATAGATCAATTATATAATGTTGTAAAAATACCATTCTGGATTTTGGAAATTAAGAAGAGCCTTAGCTACTGGGGGATAATCTAATTATTTCCCCCTGGCTTCTGAATATTTTATACATTCTGTTGATTACAGAGGTTCACACAAATCACAAATTAAAGCTGAGCATGCAACATAGAAAGCACAGCATAAAGAGGCAGAATTTGCTCCTCATTAGCCTGGTACATGTATAGATTAAAAGAACACTTCTGCCTAGTGATATAAAAAAAGATTTCAATCAACTGCTTTTTTTTTTTTTTTTTTTTTTGAGACAGAGTCTCGCTCTGTCACCAGGCTGCAGTGCAGTGGTGCCATCTCAGATCACTGCAAGCTCCGTCTCCTGGCTTCATGCCATTCTCCTGACTCAGCCTCCTGAGTAGCTGGGACTACAGGCACCCACCACCACGCCCAGCTAATTTTTTTGTATTTTTGTAGTAGAGACGGGGTCTCACTGTGTTAGCCAGGATGGTCTCGATCTCCTGACCTCGTGATCCACCTGCCTCGGCCTCCCAAAGTGCTGGGATTACAGGCATGAGCCACTGCGCCCGGCCTCAATCAATGTTTATTTGACAAATATATTCCCCATCTTAATGTCTGGATACATTCAATACTTTAAAAGCTGAGGCAACCTGAATGGCTGGTGCTGCCGAGAGCGCTTCGGTGAAACATATCATGCACATGTCATCGGCGTCTTGCTTCAGGCTTGTGGCACTTTTGTCACAGCCGTGTAGACAGGGCAGACAGTGCTCTTCGTTTTTAACACCCCCGCATGGATGGCCACAAGGATGCGTCTTACTACAGGCTATCTTAGCGTATTCCTGTTAAAGATGAATTACAATGTTACACAAGTATGTAAAAAAGCACACATTCTGGTAATTTTCCTTATTATATAAATTTCCAAAGATTACTTTCCCACAGGAAGTATCTATGCAGGCCAAGTAACAACAAAGTAAAGTTATTTCTAATCTTTGTTTGAATATAAATTAGGCTTCTTAACAAAGTTTTTTTTTTTTGATGCGATTTTTAAAAAATGCCACTCTCTATAAAGGGAATGCTGATAAGTGAATTATAATTTCATATTTGTCATCATGCACAGCTATAAAGCAAAAAGTTCCTGGCTGGGAGTCGTGGCTTACACCTGTAATCCCAGCACTTTGGGAGGCTGAGGTGGGCAGATCACGAGATCAGGAGTTTGAGACCAGCCTGACCAATATGGTGAAACCCCATCTCTACTAAAAATACAAAAATTAACCAGGCATGGTGGCGCGCGCCTGTAATCCCAGCTACTTAGGAAGCTGAGGCAGGAGAATCGCTTGAACCCGGGAGGCGGAGGTTGCAGTGAGCCGAGATCGTGCCACTGTACTCCAGCCTGGGCGACACAGCCAGACTCCGTCTCAAAAAAATAAAAAATAAAAAAAGTTCCCCAATGTATAATTTCCCAGTCACCACTCTCCGCATCACCAAAATGCAGATTTTTTTTTTTTTTAAAAAGGTACCTTTGACTCTCTGAGCATATCCACATTCTTATTAATTGAGAAACCAAAAACATTTGGACAACATAGAATATGTTTATATATGTTCAGGATTAAAGAACTCTTAGATGTTGAAAATGTATTTTAAGGAAATAAGTGAATAATGTCTGTAAGAGATAAAGGAAATACAGTTCATAAATTTTTAACTGTTTCTAGTACAAAAGTAGATATTAAATACATATGATCATGGTAACTGAGAAACATACAAAAAGAGTGTGGTTTGGGCTTGAGAGCCTTATTTGACCCATTCTTCAACTTTGGTAAGGCATTTGATGCTTCACATAGGTAATACACTCATTTAGGAAGCTGGAGTGACGCTGAGCTAAAACTCTTTTCTGTATGAAGTAAAGGTGTCACAGGGGAACATGGACAATGGGATGGCCTGTGTCACTATATACTCACCTGGCAATCTGCATCAGAACAAACACTGCCAACAGCAGATAACTCTGTTCCACTCCTGGAACCACAGAAGCGACATGCTTCTGAGCTACTCGTGGTGGGTTTGCCTAGGTTCAAGCAGAAAAATAAAAATCCTTCTTATGGATGTTTTCTAGATATGTTAACAGAACTAAATTTTAAAAAGCAAACTAGGTTTGTATAAGTTGCTATCCTTGGGAAATCAGCCTGACAGTTTTAGAACGGAAGGTTTCTAAGTTGTCCTAATTATAAAGTAAATAATGACACACAAAAAAAGAAATTAAAGACCTATCTGAAGCCAAATACACTCTCGACTAATATTTTTTTTCAGTGAAAGAAACAGACTAGACTTCTAGTCAAGTTACCAGACTGAGCAGCTGTTACAAGCCCCTGACTCCAAATGCACAATACCATAAAAAATATGATAACCAAAAATTAAATAAAAATACACAGAAGTTAGGGAAATCTTTAACTATATATAACAAAATTATAAGGCATGGTATAAAGCCTATCATCAGAGTATGAAACTTGAAAAACAGAATTCCTACCTCAGGAACTCTGCAATTTGAAAAGGAATTTAAATATGTTTGAAATACTTAAAGAAGAAACAGAATCAATAAAACAAGAACAGAGCAATAAGAAAAAGAACGTGAAGATTTGAAAATTACAGACCAAGCTGATTTTTAAACACAGATATAAAAATCTAACTATAATTAATATCAATATATTGAATTCAGCAATATTTACAGAAAAATCTATTTAAAAAGGATGGTTTACAAGGATGGTTTGACATTAGAACATTTATTAATGCAGTATACAGCACTGACAGATTATAGGAGGAAGAAATCAACTATGAGAAAAGAAGGTCATGCTCTTGCAGCATGCAAAGTCACCCTAGAATTAAATTGATTCGGATTTACACCTAACTCCAACACTGGAAGTTCGTGTCAGTCAAATGGCAGACTGCAGATGTGCTGAAAACTGAGAATTTGTAAGATTCAACATAACTTTGAACTAGGAATATACAAGATTTACTTTAGAAAAGCAGCAAAATGAAAACTATGTTTTAGAGATAAAAATACATTTAACATACATAGGTTACCTTTTGTTTTATGTCTATTCATTTTTGTTAATTATTTTATTGCTATCAATGGAAACAGTACCATTCACAACACCTTCAGAAGCATTAGGTCTACAAAAACCTCTAAATATCATAAAATCATACAACCTTATAATAAATAGAGATCTTAGTGATCATCTAGTGCAGCAATTTTTATTGTGGGGCAACAACTAGCAGAACTAGAAGGGAATTATCAATAGAAATGTATTTTATCTATGGAGCCCCATTAGTTGTGATCCTCTCACTTTATAAATGAAGTCAATGAGTTCCAGAGGTTAAGTGACTTGCTCGACACCACACAGCTAGTTAGTGGCAAATCAGGTTTCTTGACTTTTGGTCTAATGCTCTCTTCACCATAGAACACTCTATATATTTAGTAAATATATAGATCAATGATGTCATAATTAAACATCAGAATATCACTCAAAATTATTCACAGTTTAATCAGTTGGCACGGTTTAATCTTTTTTTGTGGGTTTTAAAGGCATGGCTCAATCTTTAAACCTTTTACCTGTGTGTTCTCGGAATTCCACCATTGCCTTCATTGTTTTAGAATCTGCCAGTGCCATCAACCAGAACAATTTGGTTCTACCACAACCTTCATGAAGGTCAACCTTTATAGCTTCTTCTTCTTCTTTGAAGACCTATTATTTCATTAAAGAACAGGGAAAAATATGCTTATTTATCACTCTGAAAGGGAGAGTATAAAATTTAATTATTCAATAATAATAATGGCTTTCATTTAAGCACTCTAAGAAGTTTTGAATATTTCCAATCTTCTCTTTAATCTTCACAGCAGTCCCTTTTTTATAAATGGAGAAATTAAGTGTTTCTAAGGATAAAACAACTTGCTATTTATAGATGGTAAGCGAGACAGCTGTGAACTCAACCAAGGTCTTTGATTCCAAAGTCCACTTTTTCCCCCTACTACACAAAGCCTCTTTCACACATTTATTTCAAAATTCACTGAACATATTTTATGCTCCAGAGACAAAAATCTTCACCTGTCTTTGATGAGTTTTGGTTCTTCGATGAAGGTGAAGGAATCTGTCACAGTCTGTACATAAATTTCCACAGACATTGCATAAAATGATTGCTGCAGTTTCACCATCATCATGGTTATCACACATAGGCTAAAATAAGACATTTCCACGTTACTTAGATTAACAAGCAAGTCTCAGACTCTCATACAAATTGAATATAATTTATTTACAAAAATAAACCGTTATTCGGAAGTCTATTAAGAATTTAGAATCTGAATATTAAACAGAATTATTGCAAATGTACTTAACTATAAAAATCTCTCAAAACTCCAAATCCAATCATTAATGTGCTTTGCAGGTTCAATGATTAATACAATGAACAGGTATACTTTGTTACTTAGAGACTTAAGAAATGTCTGCCCCATTATATATCTAAACATTCTGTATGCCAAAGGAAGAAACTGTTTATTTTTGAAACTTGAACATTAATAAGAAAATGGTGAAAGGGCCTATATAAAGTTTTCCTTTCTAGTGAACTTAAAGATACCCATCAAACCTACTTAAGTATATATGTGAACAGGTGGTGTGTCATGTTGCCTGTGTTATTGCTTTATTTCCTTCCTACCATAAGACTGATTACATTTTAGTAAAATATCTAGTCACTAAATCAGACTCTGGCTAAAAATAAATTTTGATATGATGCAAACATGACTCAGAGAAGAAGAAAGCTCTTTAATATACTTAAATAAAAGCCCCTAAAGTTTCCATATACTATGAAGTAGGGACTCTCTGAAATAGACTTGTGAGATGAACTTGGCCGAAGGGACACAATCTTTCAAGAGATCCACTAACTGTTTATGTTGATGTGTTTTTTGTTTGTTTGTTTGTTTTTAAGCTAAGCTAAAGCTTACTGTAAAGGAAAGCAAGATAAATTCTTACAAAATTCTGATCTTACCATTTGTTTTTGTTGTCCATCCTTTCCCATCCATCTCCCCGAGGAGAGACGATCTACGTGGTCCTGATCAAGAACACATAGGGATGCGAGAGCAAGCCAGAGCTGTTGAAAGGGAAGGCTGTTACACCACTGAATTTTTAGGAAAGACTTATGAAATGCTGACTGTGACACATCACAACAGCTCAATAAATGCTGGCTGATTTTGAAAATACATAGATACTCAGTGGCACTCAAGTCTTCCTGATGTGGTAGCAGGCATACACGATCACTGTCCTATGTGCCATGCACACAGGAGGCACTCAGATATCTACTGAACAAGTGACTGTTTCTCTGATGAACCACCCTGTCTTCTATCTGACAAATAAAATTATCCTTTATTGGTCTACTATGTAAACAACATATGAATAAATGAATTGGCATATTTAATATTTACTACTAATGTCTTCTGAATATTTTTCCATTTAGTATCATTAAATGCCAAAGAAGGTGGTACAGCAACTGCTAAATTGTGTACAGTCCCATGAGTAGTCAGGTACACATTAAATCCTTCTAGATAATAAAAGTTCCTCAGAAGTCTTTGTTGCCCCTTGTTGCCCCAGAAAGCCTAATACTATACTTGGTGCACTTTGTCAGAAATACATACATGTCTAAAAGCTTTAGAAAACTGTTCTCCAAAATAGGGCCGGGCACAGTGGCACATGCCTGTAATCCCAGCACTTTGGGAGGCCAAGGTGGGTGGATCACCTGAGGTCAGGGGGTTATGACCAGCCTGACTAACATGGTGAAACCCAGTCTTTACTAAATACAAAAAAAATTAGCCAGGTGTGGTGGTATATGCCTGTAATCCGAGCTACTTGGGAGGCTGAGACAGGAGAATCGCTTGTACCTGCAGGCGGAGGCTGCAGTGAGCCAAGATCGTACCATTGCACTCCAGCCTGGGCATCAAGAGTGAAACTCTGTCTCAAAAAAAAAAAAAAAAAAAAAAAGACAACTGTTTTCAGAAATAGTTAAAAATTTCTGAGGCTTAAAGGGTAAGCTTCAGTTTTATATAGAATGATATATCCCCTCATTAATGAAGAATAGAAAATGACTTAACTAGCTCAACTCTAAGAAGTGCATGTGAGTGTTATTGGATACAGAAAGCAAGAGATGTTAAAATAGGGACAGAAAAATAGAAAAAGAAATAATGCATGCAAGGAGGAAGGGGAATGCAGACTGAAAGAAAGCAACACATGAGTGGTAGGAAAGGATTACTGTCAAAAATACCTATTTCAGGTGTCACAGTCAATAATAGCAAGATAGCATAAATTGACTTTTTCCGCCCTAGGGATATATAGTTTATCTTCTTCAGATTTCTGAGGATTAACCTAAGCAATTTTTACCAGCATTCACTTCTTCCTAACGTTGTCAGACTGCCCTCCTTCAAGGAAATCTCAAATCTCTTCTGGAAGTATATGGGACATGAAATCTAGCAGGTTAAAACTTACTATAAATGTGTCATCTGAAGAATGCAATCTCATTTCCTCAAAGATTTCCACCCTGACCCTGCCCTGGACAAGCACTTCTTGCTTTTTAGAAGTAAGACCTATAAATCCTGTAAGTAAGTTACAGGGCTCTACATTAGGAACAACCAGGCATAGGCAGGGGTCTTGTCTCCAAAGGACCTTCGGTCTATCACAGCATAATGCTGGCACTAAACTTACTGTGGTAAACTACAGCAAACAGATCATTAGAAAGACAACACGCAAACAATGTACAATGTAATTAGCCTTTTCTAACCAGTGTACCCTTGGCTTCCTAAACAATAACAAAAACAAGTGACACAGAACACATAACAGTGAGAAGTAACGACTAGTTCATAATATAAAAGCCCTTTATACTTTTTCAATAAATACGGTATTTGGTTAAAAAATAATTATGTTGACTTAGTGATTAAAATTTGTTTAAATCTATTACTAAAAAAGAACACGCAATGATACACACCAAATTTAAAACAAAACAAAACAAAGCAAAACCTACTCTAGTTGTTGCAATACATCTCACTGGAGACCTAAATTCTTCTTCCATCTTGGTCAAGGCAATGATGGTTTCTGCAATAGCATTTTTTGTCACTCGGGACCAAGCTTCTGACAGATGACCCTATTGAGCAGAACAGAGTATTTTAATAAGTGACCAGAAATGTATTACCATAGTAAACTCTTTTTTCTTAAATAACATCTCCTATCAAAGGAAATATTTGTTTTTAGTGAGACCATGGAATTTTAGATTATGGGCACAAACTTTTGAACTAAAATTTCTTCGTGATCCTATGGAAAATTCAACTTCTAATCATCATTTTGATATTTAAAAATAAATAAATAAAAAATTAAGTTCTCAATACTCTTTTCCTGGAAATCAAGGGCAATTACTCTCACATCTGATAAAAACATAACAGAAATACTAAGGTTATCTATGTTTGAGAAGTTTGTCACTTAGCATAAAATTTACACAGTGAAGCTAACTGCTTTAGATGAGTATTACAGGAACCTAAAATATAAACAGGTTCAAACTGCAACTACCTTTATTTGCTACCTTGATTTGTAATGAACAAACATTTAACTATCATATAATTTAGGTGTTCCTAAATATTACTCCTAAATATTTTAATTCAATGAACACCCTGAGAAAGTCTGTTTGCCACAGAGGTTGAGAAAATATCCACGCTGTTGGGAAAAGTGATAGAACTTCATCTTTCCCCCAGAAAATCCTCCCACTTCTCATATCCACATGATTTAAGGGGCAGTTCAATTCCTCCTCCTTCTCCAAGCTGCCTTCTATTCCTTCTGACTCTACATTCCATACTATCTTGTCCTTCTCAGGCTGCCCTCCTAGAAATAATACAATGTGTGGAAAATGACAAGGAGCAACTAATCAGAGCCAGGCATTCTGTAAAGTAACTCCCTGTCCTCCACACTCCCAGATCTCCTTTGGAAGCCACCATCTTAAGACAGAGGGTATATGACATTAATAAAGAAGAATAAAGGGTTTAAAAACCATGAGGACTGAGGAGAATGAGAAACTTCCACTTTCGAGAGCTCTCTTCCTCTTTTTTTCCTTTAGGTTTTTTGAATCAAGTTCTTTCTTAGGGTCTGAAAGAGCATATTTTATTTTATTAGATTTTAAAGTCACGTAACAATTCCCACACAAATTAACTGGAAAATTTGAAATGAACATGGTTTACATAAATGACAAATTATCACTCACTGAAAAGACAAACAGCATGATAGTTAACATACTACAAATAGTCTTTAAGTAAAGTTACACTAATCTACATCTCCTATCAATTCAGCAGAGTAAGCTGTTTTGTGTCAGCTTCCTGCCGCACTTCACTGCCAAAACAGAAGAATGGGAACTTACTGCTGCCATATCCTTGATAAGTTTAATGATGATCTCTGAGATCTGGGTAGGGGTTGAGCCCTTCATCCACCAATGACTTTCACCTCGTCGGAGATAACTACAAGAAAAATTAGCACTTAAAAAGCCAATAAATTATCAGTAGTAGTAACAAATGAAAAAGATGAAAATGTTATTTCAGAATGCAGCATTTTAGATTTTTAAGTGACTGAATCAATTAAAACATTTAAAAAGAAAATTCATCAAACCATTACCCCAAATCCCAAGACAGCAGTTAAGGTTATTTGAGTTCCCTTTCAAGTATTTCTCTGTTTGCACATTATTTCTGTGTGCATCTTTTAGAAGTACAGTCCAGGGACCACACACGACTTATTTCTAGGGCACATGCGGATAATGTGGAGCTTAACCGGAATATAAATTCACTGTATCACTAAGCACACTACTATTTAGTTCAGCTGACTTTTTTCCTAGCAAGACTACAGGAAAGAAGTGATACAATGATTAACATTCTGATGTTATCTGCATATTGTCATGGATTGGCTCTACAAGTAGCACTGTTCAGATGTCTCTAATTCTCTACTGTTACACACAATTACAGAACATCCTTGCATATATACCTTGGTGCAAATGCATGAAAGTTTTAGAAGTAGAATTGGTAGGTCAAAAGATATGCATATTTAAAATATAGTTAGATATTATAAACAGATATCCAAAAAGGCTGCAGCAATTTATATGAGATGAAAATGCCTATTTCCTCATAATGTTGCCAAAGCATCAAAGATATTTTGCAATTATTTTAATCTACATTTCTCTGATTAGTAGTGAGGTGTTTTCATTTGTTTACTGGCATTTATAAGTTTTTTTCTGTGAACTGACTACTGGCATTTATAAGTTTTTTTCTGTGAACTGACTGTTCTTGTCATTTATTATTCTTATCAGTTGTTTGCCTTTTTAAAATTGATTTGTAGTCATACTTCTATATTATGCTAACAAGTCATTGTCTATTATATAGGTTTAAGTATTTTTCTAAGTTATTTCCCTATATTTTAAAACATTTAAATATTATCACCTATCAAGTAATTTTCATTTTTATATAGTCAAATCTATAAATATCTTCCTATATGATTTTGGGTTCTGTGTTTTGTTTAAGAAGGTCTTATCAAATTGAAGATTACAAAAATATTCTTCTATAATTTGTCCCAGTACAGTTTTAAAAAGAAATGTACATAAAGCTTTAGTTGACCTGAACTTTACTTTATTCCCCCATATTTATTTCTTTTTATTGTGGCAAAAAAACATATTACCTAAAACTGAAGTTTAATTTTGTATATGGTGAGAGGTAGGTATCTAGAATTTTTTTTAACATGGATATCCAAATATTCTGACATCACATATTCAGCCTACTTTCTATTCCCCACTAATTATAAATGACACTTTTATTATATACATGACCTTTTTAGATATTAGCCAGTTGTTTATGGATTTTATTTGGTGAGTAACCTAACAAGGTAAAATCTGAAATTATGTCTTAAATTTCTGAACAGTAGCTCACTCTATTCTGTTTTGGTACTAAAATAGAGGCAATAACTAACCTGGAATTGAAAATCATCGGAAGAGTAACTGTTGTAACTCCTTTGCCCACAGTGGTACCAGCTGTTCCAGTGATGGTGGTTCCTTTGGCTTTTAGCTGTACAGTGAGTGCTTTGGCAATGCATCCTAGAAACATGTCCAAGATACCCAGCTTATTCCAGTCTCCTTTCTCTGTTGAGTGAATGATATCACTGATATCTGCTGGGGGGAGGGATTTCACTCCTATGATGCTGGCCAGACGACTAGGGGTTACTTCAGGCAAAACTCTTCTTAGTAAAGAGGTTACCTGGTAAGAAAAATAAAATGAGAGAATTCCATGTAAAGACTAATGTTTTAAGGTTTCTTTTATTTCTCTTTTCTTTTTTTAAAGACAGGGTCTTGCTTTGTTGCCCAGGTTGGAGTGCAGTGGAGCAACCACAGCTCACTGCAGCCTTGAACTCCTAGGCTCAAGGGATCCTCCCAGCTTTGCCTCCCAAAGTGCTGGGATTACAGGCATAAGTCACTGTACCCCATCCCAGGCTTCATTTTTTAATGTACCTAACTACCATTCTGTAACTTCAAAATCTTTAAGAAAAGAAATATGATTTAAACACTATTTTACATTTTGTGAAGGAAGAAAATATGATATACATACTATTCAAATGGTAATAGTAGTGGTAATTACTAACCCAAGGCAGCACGAAAAAAAATACCTTTTCTTTCTGGTCAGGGCTAAATGACATTATATATTTCATGGTAATATGGTAATCAGTAGCCAGAATACTCTCTTATCACAACACATTAATAAAATGGAACATATTTTACTATTCTATACTCTCACTATAAACAGTAAAAAAGGGAGTAAAATACAGGCCCCAAACAAAATATAACAAAATACGAAATAAAAATCTATACTTAGGGTCCTTAGATAATTCTCTTTGCATTGCAACTTTTAACAATGTTTCAAGTAACAAAAGCAATGGAAAGGCTGTAGTGTGATCAGTCACCTGTCTCTGGACTCTAGGAGAGGCTGTGTGAAGCAGCGAGAAGAGATCCTGAAGCAGGGTTAGCTGTTGAGCCAGATATTGCCGGCCAACGTTAGAGCCACTCAGTGCTAAAACCATAGAGAGCAGCTCAAAGCAGTAGGCATCAGAGGAGGCATCTTCATCATTTGGCTGAGAATTGGCATTTTCTTTGCTTGATATAGCATGTTCCCATTCTTCACGGACTCTGGTAGCTTCCATGCGAATAGCTTGGACAATATGAGCACACACCTATTTAAAGTTAACACAGAACATGTAAAAATATAGGGTTAGTTTGATTTACTACTCCTAGCAAAACAAGCAAACAAAAGAATAAGACAAGAATGTAAATTGATACTCAATTTAATACTATTCTCCCAGTTAATTCTCCATCATATGTCATTCTCTTAACTCATCTAAGAAACAAGTAAAGCTAAGGGAGCCACAATAAAAATGGAAATATTTAAATCAACTACTATGTGCAAACTGATTATATGCAAGTTATTAATGCCTATGCTTACAGTTTAGCACGTCAAAAACCAATCACCATATTTTATCACTGAAGGCACTTTTTCTCATGGTTTACCATTATGTTCATAAGGTGCTTTATAGCTGATAAGATTCACAATACTGAAATTATACATGACATTTTACAATTGAAAGCATCTAAGATTCAATGAAACACTGCTAGAAAGATAAAGCAAAAATAAATTCATGTTGTAGTTCATTGAAAAGAATAATAGTGTAGAAAGTTAGAATAGGGCTGGGTGCCGTGGCTCACGCCTGTAATCCCAGCAATTTGGGAGGCCGAGGCGGGCGGATCATGAGATCAGGAGATCGAGACCATCCTGGCTAATATGGTGAAATCCCGTCTCTACTAAAAATACAAAAAAATTACACCTGTAATCCCAGCAGTTTGGGAGGCCGAGGCAGGTGGATCATGAGGTCAGGAGATCGAGACCATTCTGGCTAACACGGTGAAACCCCGTCTCTACTAAAAATACAAAAATATTATGCCTGTAATCCCAGCACTTTGGGAGGCCGAGGCGGGTGGATCACGAGGTCAGGAGATCGAGACCATCCTGGCTAACACGGTGAAACCCCGTCTGTACTAAAAAAAAAAAAAAAAAAAAAAAAAATTAGCCAGCCGTGGTGGCAGGCATCTGTAGTCCCAGCTACTCAGGAGGCTGAGGCAGGAGAATGGTGTGAACCCAGGAGGCGGAGCTTGCAGTGGGCCGAGATCGCACCACTGCACTCCAGCCTGGGCAACAGAGCGAGACTCCCTCTCGAAAAAAAAAAAAGTTAGAATAATAGGTTAATTTAAAATCAATATTTTATTTGACTTTTGAAGTGATATTTTTATGTTATGTAGCACCCCATTATATGAACAATATAGCGCTATTTCCTCACCTGGTTATATTTAAAAATATTAACACTGGTATAGTTAACACTGTTAATTGCTCAGCCAACACACAGAAGAATGGGGGAAAAGAAATATGGGAAATGCAAATCAAATCTGATATAGCTGGGTATTTGACACCAAATAAAAAATCTACCCATAACAAATAGCAGCAAGGTAAGCAAGTTTTCATAAGTAAAATCTTTAAAATGATGAAGGTATGCCAAAATACTCATTCCTCTCTAAAAAATGGCAGGCACATTCTGCAGGACCTATAAAAGGGCGAGCATAAAAAAGCCTTCATAAATTTTTCAAAATACTTTATACCAAGCTCATCCAACCTGCAGCCGGGGGACTGCCTGTGGCCCAGGATGGCTTTGAATGTGGCCCAACACAAATTCATAAACTTTCTTAAAGTATTAGGAGATTTTTTTTTCTTGCAATTTTTTTTTTAGTTCATCAGCTATTGTTAGCCTTAGTGTATTTTATGTGTAGCCTAAGACAATTCTTTTTCTTCAAATATGGCCCAGGGAAGCCAAAAGATTGGACATCCCTGCTTTATACCCTAATAACAAACAAACAGACAAACAAACAAACACACACACACACACACACAAAACTAATGAAGACAATGAAATAGCTGTTAACCAACCTGTTTTTGTAAGTTAGTCAGCTTACTCCTGCTGAATATGATTCCAACCATATGTTCTTTCAGGTCAGCATCTGATGTTGCCTTTACATAGAAAAAGAAAAAAAAAAAAAAGAATGAAGTGGTCTCTTTAAATAAAATTTGTATATGTGATATTTCAAAGTAACTTGAGAAATAATTTTGTGTATATATTTTTAAAGTAAATTTATTTTAAATTGAGGCTTATAATACTAAGACAAAGGATAAAGTTTGAAATAAAAAGAACAAAATCTCAGAACTTAGGAAATTCAGAGAAGTATATTCTCCTTTCACAAATTTCTTTAATGTAGTCAATTTGAGTAGCTTTGATTAAATCTATTTCTAAATTGTAAACATTATTAGTTCACATCCCACATTTAATTGTTTGAAGAACAATCCAGGAAAATAACATTTGTTTAAAAGGAAAGTGTCCTAACAAACCTCTGTGATGATAGTGGTCTTAAATTAAGCTATCGGAACACCAAGTCATCAAAGAAATGTATCATAAGGAAAAATATAAAGGCTAAAATTTTATAGAGCTTATTATGTGCACGCTGTTCTTCTAAGTGCCACATATGTATATATGTGTGTGTATATATATATATGCATGCACGTGTGTGCACACGCACACACACACACACACACACACACACACACACACACAAATCTTATCTAATCTTCGCAACAACCCCAGAAGGTAAATTGTAATATTTTGCCTACTTTACAGGTAAGAAAACTGAGGTAAGAAACTCTTTTGTTTAAGAATCAAAAATGATGCTTGGTTTTACATTTCTTAAGATAGAGAGCCAGAAGAGAATGTCCCTTTCGCCCTAACAATGAGGAAAAACCTGATCATCTACAAAACCAAAACTTTTTTTTTGGAGTCCATTAGAATGTTGAGATCAGCTACCAGGTAGAATGAATTCCAAATAAACAAATCCAGTTAGTTGGATACTTCAAAACTCTTCTTTCAGTACTTAACAGAACAAGTAAACAAGCAAAAAACCAAAAACCAGTAAGGCTCTTAAAGACTTGAATATTAAGGCTCTTAAAGACTTGAATATTATTGATCAACTTGAACTAACTGATATTTATAGAACCCCTCAAAGAAGAACAGCAGAGTTCACATTTTTTTGAAGTGCACGTGGACATTCACTAAAACAGACTATATTATAGGCCAGAATCCAAATCTTAACAATTTTAAAAGGACTGAAATTATACGAAGTATACAATACAGTTTGACCACAATGAAACTGAACCAGAAATTAATAATATAAAGCTAACAGGAAAATTCCCAAATATTTGGGAATTAAACAAGGTGCTTCTAAATTACCCAAGGGTCAAAGAAGAAATCAAAATGGGGCCGGATACAGTGGCTCACGCCTGTAATCCCAGCACTTTGGGAGGCCGAGGTGGGTGGATCACGAGGTCAGGAGATCGAGACCATCCTGGCTAACGTGGTGAAACCCCATCTCTACTAAAAAAAATACAAAAAATTAGCTGGGCATGGTGGCGGGCGCCTGTACTCCCAGCTACTTGGGAGGCTGAGGCAGGAGAATGGCGTGAACCCAGGAGTCAGAGCTTGCAGTGAGCCGAGATTGCACCACTGCACTCCAGCCTGGGCGACAGGGCAAGACTCCATTTCAAAAAAAAAGAAAAAAAAAAAAAAAAAGAAATCAAATGGGAATAAGAAAACTAAGAAAACATTGTGAATTGAATGAAAATAAAAACAGAATACCCCAAATTTGTGAAATGCAGCTAATGTAGTGCTTAGAAGAAAATAATAGCATTAAATACTTAGATGAGAAAAGAAAGGTCTTGGAGTCTACGATCTGATCTTGGACCTTAAGAAGTCAGAAAAAGATGAACAAATGAATACAAGGCAAACATAGGGAAAGAAATAAAGTTGTGATTATTAAAAGAAGCAAAAATAGAGGAAAATCAATGAAACAAAAAGCTAGTTCTCTGAAGAGATCAAACTGATGAATCTTTAGAGAAACTATTTCAGAAAAAAAGAATGAAGACACAAATCACCAAGACACATCACTACAGGTTCTACAGATATTAAAAAGACATAAGGGTATATTATGAACAACTTATGGCAATAAATCCAGAAACTTAGATGAAATGGACAAATTGCTTGAGTGTCAGAACTACTAAAGCTTACCCAAAAAGAAACAGATAACTGAAACAGCTCTGTTATCTATTAAAGAAAGTGAATTTTTAGAATAGAGCATTTATTTTGCTACTTAAGTACTAGTTAGATTATATATGAGTCTCTTTTAGATAGTTCTTTCATCTTGTTTACCTCTTTCATCATTTATTTTTGCTTTTTAAAAACATCTTTATTGAGATATAGTTCACATACCATGCTATTCATCTGTTTAAAGCATAGAATTCAATGGTTTTTAGTACATTCAGATATGTGCAACTATCGTCGTCAGTCAATATTACAGCATTTTTATTACTTCTAAAAGAAGCACTATATCATGTAGCTACCATCCCCTAGTTTTTTTTTTCACTGAAGGAAAATGAACTGTATACAAGCTAGTATCACATGTTGACTAAAATGCATAGCAATATATGGATTATCTTACGGAATAAAAGAAATGAAGAAAGAGAAACATATAAAGGTACCACTGTGCTCTTGTCTGGGTGACAGAGTTAAGACCAGGTCTCTTAAAAAAGAATCCATTCTGATAGAAATTCTCAGCAAACTAGGAATAGAAGAAAACATTCTCCAATCTTATTAAAAAGATTCACCCCCAAAAAATCTACAGTTCACATCACACTTAATAATGAATGGTTTATACTTTCTTTTCAAGATCCAGAACAAGTCAGAGCTATCTGTTCTCATTACTTCTATTCAGCATGGCGCTTAAGGGCTTAATCAATGCAATAACACAATAATATAAGAAAAGAAATTTAAGGCATATAGTTTAGAAAGGAAAAAACCCAAATTTATTGAAGACTACATGATTATCTAAGAAAACCCCAAAGAGTCTATAAAAAGTTTCTGAAATTAGTAAGTGAATTTAAGATCACAGGGTAGAAATCTAATATACAAAAGTCAATTCTATTTTTATACACTAGAAATGAACAATTGGAAAGTGAAATAAAAAATACCATTTACAATAGCTTTACAAATGTTAAATGTTTAGGAATAAATTTAATAAAATATGTACAAGATGTGTACAATGAATTACAAAACACTGCTGAGAGAAATTTTAAACAGATGTAAGAAAACCCCTGATACATATCATGTTCACAGATACGAAGACTCAATATTATTGACATGGCGATTCTCCCTAAACTATCAATTTGGTGTTAATTCCAGTCAAAATTCCATCCCCACCGCCCCCCCCCCTTTTTTTTTTAAAGAAACGGTCAAGCTGATTCTAAGCTTTATATGGAAATGCAAGAGATCTAGAATAGCCAAAATAACTTAGATAAAGAACAAAGTTAGAACCTGATATCAAGACTTTTTATAAAGCTACAGTAAGTAAGACACTTTGATGGATCAATGGAGCAGAATAGAGTCCAGAAACAGACCTACCATTTATGGTAAATTGACTATTGATAAATGATAGTCTTCTCAATGAATCGTAGTAGAACAATTGAACATCTATATGCAAAAGATAAGCCTCAATTCTTACACTGCACATAAAAATTAAAATGTATACAGTTCTAAAGAAAAGAACTAAAACTATAACATTTCTAAAGGAAAAGAAGAGAATATCTGTGTGACCTTGGGTTCTAGACCATACATAAAAATCATGAATCAAAAAAACAAGAAAAAACTGGACTTTATCAAACTTAAAAACTTCTGTTCTCTGAAAGATAAGACACAGACTAGGAGAAAATATTTGAAAACACATAATTGGTAAAAGACCTGCAAAGATCTGTATGTGAGTGTTCACAGCAGCTTTACTAATAGTAGCCAAACAGCAGAAACAACCCAAATATCCATCAAAAAATGAAAGGATAAACAAATTACGGTAAATCCATATAATGGAACACTTCTCAGCAACCAAAAGAATGAACCATGGCTACATGCTACAACATGGATAAATCTCAAAAGCATTACACTAAAGTGAAAGAAACAAGACAAAAAGGCTACATTCTGAGTGGTTCCATTTATATGACATCCAGGAAAAGGCAACACAACACTGGCAGAATATAGTTCAGTAGTTGCTAGGCTCTAAGTGTGAGGTTGGGGGATTGCCTGCAAAGGAACATGAGAGAAATTTGGGGAGTGATGTGTTTTAAAACTTGGTTGTGGGCTGGGCATGGTGGCTCATATCTGTAATCTCAGCACTTTGGGAGGCCAATGCTGGCAGACTGCTTGAGCCCAGGAGTCTGAGACCAGCCTGGGCAACATGGCAAAACCACATCTCTGCAGATATATTAAAATCAGCTGGGCACGGTGACGTGCACCTGTAGTTCCAGCTACTTGGGAGGCTGAGACAGGAGGATCCATTGAGCCCGGGAGGTTGAGGTTGCAGTGAGCCGTGATCATACCACTGCACTCTATCCTGGATGACAGAGAGAGACCCGGTCTCAAGCAAAACAAAACAAAACAAACTTGATTGTGATAATGATTTCACTAGTGTACACAAGTAAAAATTCATTGAATGATACAGTTTAAAATGAGGAATTTCTGTATGTAAATTGTGCTTCAATAATCTAACTTAAAAAAAGATTCTCTTAAAAATCATGTTATTTCATGGGCACACACATGACAGTATAACCTTTCCTACTCAACCTTAACTCCTCAGCATACACTCTCCCACCCTTAGGCCAGTCTCTCTGATCAGTCCTTGCTCCCATTCTCTCTACTAATCTCATTTGAATCCCTTCATTCTCTTTCAGATCTAACTCCAGTCCAATATCCCCTAAGAAGCCTTCTCTGACCACTCCAGGGCACAATGATCTCAAGGTACTCTGAAAGCCAATGTCATCTGCAATTTTTTTCACACATTTAATAACTTGCTTTTATACTATATAGTATCTTTGTTGATTTCTTTTTGGGGGGGGTGAGGGGAATGCAGAGGGTTCATAACCAAGAACAGAATGCAAGCTTTTTGAGGGCTTGCCATTCTCACAATTGTTTAGTACAGAGTTGACATCTGCTAAAATTCAATTGACTTAACAGGTAGTTACACAGTCTTGTAGTCATTCAAATGAAATCTCCAAAAGATGTTGAAAGAAGTTACCAGCATTTAAGAAATCTTATTTTTTTCAGACCTCAAACAAAAACAGGACAATGATTAGATACTACTGTATTAAGAAACACAGGGTGAGACAAGGGAAATCCTTGAAATTTATCTTTCAAAGGGCTGCCAAGGTGATTATTTGTAGCATTTAAAGACACTAGAATATTGAGACTAGTCAGAGTTGACTTCTCTTTTTGCAAATGGATGAAGTACAAAAGTTTTAGGTATAGTGTTTTAGTCAGGACCGAAAAAGTAAAGCAACTGTATTTTTGCAAGAAATTTCAAGAACAGTAACAAAGAGTAGTTATTCTAATAAAAATTTACTAAACATGTGTGTGATGCTACCATGATGGATACAAAGACAAATTAGACATGGACTTGGTCTTTAAGAAGCTATGGTTCAGTAGAAGAGAGAAAACATCCATGTAGATAAACATAAGAGAAAAATGAAGAAGAGACACATACAGATTATTATGAACTCCAGCAGAGAGAAAACTGCTTTTGTTTGGGGAAATCATAAACAAATTTCATGAAGAGGATAAATCGTAAAAAAGTTTCATGAAGAAGACAGTACTTTTGAGCTGAACTGTGAAGGACAGGGACAATGGAGGAGGGAGAAGATAACTGATGGGGTATAGCACAGAAATGATTACAAATGAATGCAAAAACCCAAGGTATAGAGCAAATTTGCTGTTACTTAAAATACTAGCTAGATTATACATGAATAATGAATTTCTTTTAGATAGTTCCTTCATCTTTCTAAGAACAAATATGAACTGCATAAAACTGTTATTACATATCCATCAAAATATACAGCAATAAATGAATTATTTCACTGAAAAAAAGAATAAAAAAGGGAAATAAATATCTTTAGAATACAAATAAATACATTGTATACTTTTTCTTCTCCTTCAGGTGATGACAATAGTGCTTTTTCCTCTTGTTCTGGTGTAGGTTCAGCATCTCCAGAGATGAGCTTTCCAAATACCTGATGAAGATATGCATGTGAGAAGGAATTAATGACAGGCATTAACACTATATTGGCCAGAGGACTCATTAGCTGATTCCGCAGGTTTTATAATATGCTACTCTTGCTAATATACACCACTATTTTTCTTAATTACAAATGCAACATGGAACTCAGGTGTTTAGGGCTATGAAAAGAAAAAATGGGCAACATTTATAGCCAGAAATTTCTGTAATAAGTTTCACAAAATATTTTGTTACACTCTTAAAATATATTACATCAATTATCCTGTGCTAGAATATGTTGTAAGGACACTCACTTGAGACGTAATCAGTCTGAATACTCGCAGAGTCTCAGCTTCACAGTTCCTCTGCTGGGCCACACTGGCTGAAATCTGGCCAGCTATTTTTGTGCTTTCACCATCTTTCCAGCCCAGGACTTTGACTTGTCGAACTCTCAGTGTATTTTCTGGGCCTTTTAATTCAATTTTTATGATGTGATTATCCCCTCCTGGAAGTTCACTTGTTACCCAGCCAATGTGCCTGGAATCCAGATCAACCTGGTTGAGTAGAAAAGAGGCAGGAACCTGATTCAGCTGGATCACTTTTATCACTGTGCTGGACTTAGCATTGATACCAGCAAGCTCAAATAACAAAGAATTGCACAGAGTAAAGGTTATGAGGTTATTTCACACTGATTTTCTTATTTCAACCAGGTGAAGATAAGTAATATTATTTATAGTAGCTATTACACAGATGAAGAAACTAAGGTTAATACAGGTTAAGGGATTTTCAGTAAATGGTGGAATTGAGAATTAAAATCCAGGCCTGACTACGATATGGCTTCCGAGCAAAATTATATGAGTGAAATAATTACAAATAATTTATATGACTGTACTTTATCTATATCATCTGTAAGTGGAAACCTCACAAGATCAGAAAAGGGTTCTTTTTTTGTGCATCCTCACATTAAAGTACCATTTAAAGATAAGGGACTTTAAAGTGCAGTTACTTAATATGTTTTACTTTTGAACAAAAATTACATAATATGTAACTTCACACTTGTGATTCCTTATTTCACTAATTTTCATTGAGAATATGACTTTTTTTTTCAAGGATTAAATGTTAATATACTGTGAAATAGTTCTTGACACTATTCCCTTCATAAAATAAAAACTGTTCTTATGGCATTTAATAACCAAGAAATGACCTGGCGATTTCTATGTGATTTAAATAGACATTAAGTTGATATTATTTTAATTAATAATGTCAATTTTCAAAAAGGGGTATTAAGTATAAACAAACACAATCTCATTGAATAGGATTATTTTCCCAAATTCTTCAACAATTTAAACAAAATTTATTATATGTTTAGTCCAAAATCTTAATTGATTCCTTCAATGTGATTTGAAAACAAGCAAGCAAGCAAGCGATTGGCCAACTTTTTGTGAGATAAAGTAGCCAGTGAGGAACAGATTTGACAAAGTTTCATGAATACAAGTAAGGGAGCTTGAGCACAGTCTCAGACACATGCCTAGATAAAACTTAACTTGTTTCTAAAGTTGGTTTAAACTGACTTGCAACCTGGATATAGCTGCAGTGTTATAAGTGTTATAACAGACAGATTTTTCAGGCCAGAGGACAATAACCTGTATTAACTCAAAGTATAGGTGAAGTAAGGTTTTAAGTGTGAATGGGATCTGTGATAAATTTTAAGATACCCTGAGTCTTTGTTGGGGAGTAGGGTAGGGAGACTGTAGGTACAATATAATTGCTCATGACTGGGGAACATTTAGGAAAACAGGTGAGATGTCCAGCACAGGGATGGTGGTTACTATTCCTATGTTTTGGACCACTTGTCAATTTAGTGTTCTGTAAATAGATAATTCCCTATAATACTTTGGTTGTGTGCCAAGGGTGGAATTCAATAGTGAAGGCTGAGAAGAAGAAATTTCTCTCTAGGTAGCGAAACATTTAATGACAAAATTTCAATTACCTGCTTTATTCTGCACAAATCTTCTACTGCTTTGCCAGTTAAGAAGGTCATTGAGGTAACTTTATTCTGAAATAGACAATTCACAATAGTTAATATGCTATATTCCTGCTTCAGAACTTACAATGGTTTCTCATGACCTACTAATACCACATCAACTCTTCTGCCTGTCTCTTATGGTCCTTCCTGATTGACCCCACCCCATCCCTCCAACTAACCACGGTTCCTATAACTTTAGTCTCATTCTCACAAACTCCATCTTAAATTGCACATTTCAGCCTCTCTCCAGGTGCTCTCTCACAGCTTGACATTCCCTCTCCTTATTCAAAGTCTAAATATTCAGATTCCTTCCTCATGAAGCCTTTCAACAAATCTGCTTGTCACTTATGTCAGACTCTTGTTGCTATATTTTCATTACTTTTGGAAGTATAAAGAGGGAAGGTAACTGAACTAACAAATACTTATGAGTGTCACAATGTACCCAGACTTCCTTACAGATTTGAAGTAGGATATATGAGAGGAGGTTCTATCCCCCAAGATACTTGCCAAACTAGGGAAGGCAACATTAATACACAAAATAAATGTCAAACAGTACAAGTTCAATACATGTTCAAACTAGTGTCAAATATCTTAAGGCTGAATAAGTTTTACGCAAAGCACATCAAGAAATAGATTAACATTAATTCCTTGGAGAGCTGCATAATATGAGTGCTGTAGGCTGATACAACTCAAATCAACAAATGCTGTGTACAAGGCTCTGTGGTAGGCAGGTTGAGGAACATGGAGGTACATAACTCAAGGAAAACATACATACAGGTTGAGTATCCTTTATTAGAAATATTTGGGACTAGAAGTGTTTTGGATTAGGGATTTTTTAGGATTTTGAAATACTCTATTTGCATTATCCTTACTGGCTGGGCACCCCAAATCTGAATATCTAAAACCAGAAATGCTCCAATATGCATTTCCTTTAAGTGTCATATCTGTGTTCAAAAAGTTTCAGATTCTGTAGCATTTTGGATTTTCAGATTTGGAATGCTCAACCTATAACATAGAGGAAGCCTGTTAAAAGGAAAGTAGATGTCAGCTTACATGTTGGGAATTTTGAAAATGAATACTGTTATGATTATTTCCTCTTAGAAAAGACAGAAGTGTTAAATTGATTGCAATCATTGTTCTGAGGGAGAGTATGTCCTTGCTTAAAATGTACCATGAGCCAAAGATAGCTTTGCACTGAACAGTGAGTTCTAGCTACAAAAATGTTTTGCTTTGTTACACTTGACTTTCCAGTAAGATAAAGTAGTTACACCAGTGGAAATTCTTAGGTCTGAGGAGGAAATAGCTCATATTATATTAGCTAAGCCTCTTTTACTTACTCAATACCAGGGAGGAATAGAACCTGCACTGATGTACAGGAGTTGGAGGTTGCTCTGATTGCAGACTGGCCTGCATCCAGGTTATCTGAGACCCAATCCTACCACTGTGGCTCTTCCTGAGAAAGGAAATATGCAAATGGCACAGGAGAAGCCAGGCAATGGTTCAAGGAGAGCCATTAATACTGTATCTGCTAGCAAGCCACATCCATTCTGAGGAAAAAAATTCTAAATGAGGTAGAAGAAAGGCAGTCTGGCAGTTAGTGCTATTTCTTTCTTGGTTGTTAATACTCAAGCAAATAGGACTCTTTTTTCTTGTTTAGTGCCTTTTATAAAAGAATATTTAATTCAGTTGAAACACATGGATGAACTAGGCTGAAGAGAATATAAATTATGATTATTTGGGACAGTCTGAAACTTATTTTTTATTTCATGAGGACTGTGGCAAAGTAGACACTTGAAGATAGGCTGGGTGCAGTGGCTCATGTCTGTAATCCTAGCACTTTGGGAGGCTGAGGTGGGCAGATCACTTGAGGCCAGGGGTTTGAGACCGGCCTGGACAACATGGTGAAACCCTGTCTCTACTAAAAATACAAAAATTAGCCAAGCATGGTGGCGTGTGCTTGTAATCCCAGCTACTCAGGAGGTTGAAGCAGGAGAATCGTTTGAACCTGGAGGCGAAGGTTGCAGTGAGCCAAGATTGTGCCACTGCACTCCAGCCTGGGTGACAGAGGGAGACTCCATCTCAGAAAAAAAAAAAAAAGCTGATTACACTATAGGTCAAAGATTATTATTAAGTGCCACCAGAGTAATACAAAAAGAATCAGCAGAGGGAAAGAGTAATTTTTTAGAGGAGTTACTTAGAATTTCTCTGCTGAGTTTGAGAGACCCTGGAAGAATTGATCAGCAGAGTTTAAGGGGAGGACTTCCAGGTCACGGGAAAATCTTAACCAAGGGAATGGCAGCAGAAAATTGTAGAGCAGACTTTCATTTTGCTTAGCTGTAGCCATGGTATATTTGTAATCAGACCTCTTTTCAGAAATGGAATTCCACAGTGCTCCCAATCATATTAATTTGTTTTTAGACTTAAGATTTATTTGGGGATTATAGCAATGATGTTTGGTTGGTGAAATTCCAGGTGATAAAGCTTGTTGCTAAATTCAGAAATGAAAGTGCATGAATACTAAGATCTGAAAAGAGCTAAAGAGCCGTAAATCACGTTTGCTTTCTTACCCCAAGATCTCGGGAATTGTCCACGTGAACAGACACATAGCGGGCATTGATTCCTTTTACACAGTTGATGGTGATGTTCTTAGTTTTGTTTTTATCTTCATCTCCTGATTCCCAAAAGGTTTCTGTGGAGCCGTCTGTCAAACTGCCAATCATGGCAGGTCGGCTTGAAGTTTTTATGTCAACAATGCTGGTTAAGTCCTTTAAGCACATTACTATGCATAATTCCTATCAGAAACAAATATAAGTACTTATGATACTTAAAAGCAAATCTTTCGTGATGATAAAACAAACAGGTATAAGATAAAACATAATGGAAGACAGGATCAAATTGATTATGAATAACTTACAGTTTCTCCTTTGATGTATTATTAACTAACAGGACAACCAGGATAATAACTGAAATGACTGACCTGACTCATAGCTTCAAAGCCAGACTGTATACTGATGCTAAAACTCTCTTCACTATCGCCATCATCTGACTTTGACAAAATATTGTTAATGTGATGAAAGACGTTGCTCTGATGAAGGAACTGGTGATCAGATTGCTTGAATTTGAGACTCCAGCACCTAAAAAGGCGATATATAAGCAATATACGAAATAATTATTTTCCAGGAACATCTAAGGAACTCTTAGATGAGTACTCTGTAGCTAATATCTCAAGAAATTTTAATGTTCTAGTAACAGACATTTTAAAAATTCAGGGAAGAAAATCATTCCTATTGTTTTTGTTTTTGAGAAATAAAGGTAACTTCTTTGGAACAAGGTAAATTCTAAGGAAAGTTGACCCATTTTAAATATAAAAGAATTAGACAGATGAAGATCAAGGCTACAGAAGCAAAAAGGGTAATGAATCTATTGTGTAAACAAGTGGTACACCAACTGCAACAACCCCTCAAATTTATTACTCTTACAATGCCATACTAATTCATCAGGGTATAGTTTATCTTGTAGTTCAAAAATCTTGTGAGGAGGACAAAGAGAAATCTCTCTTCCACTGGTCTTATCATTAGTAACATGGGAAGCCCAAGCATTCCATCAATCTATTTCTTGTATACATTAATTAGGAGAATTTATTTATAAGTGTGAGTCCAGTATGTGAATCTAGTAACAAGGTTCACAGTGTAAAAGCAATGCTAAATTCTCAACACATTTCAAATTGAAATTGGAATCTGTTGAGCATCTGTGATGCTCCTTAAGGTGCTTTTAGGACTGGGTGCATACAACCAGGCTCTGTTTTCCCCAAGATTCTTTTCAAGTCAAAACTCTATTTTGGTTTTTGTTTTTGAGATTTCATTTTCCCTCTCTCTTTTTGGGACATTTAAGTGATTTGAGGTAGGAGACTGGGGAAAGTGAGGGAGATTGCTACAGTGATAATTTAGGGCACTAAGAATTACATTAGCCACATTTTACAGGAGGGCAAACAAATGTTAACTAAGAGGAAGGACCATTCTAAAAATTATGACTGTAAGGAGGGAGGCACCATCTATATAATGTAGGGATTCTATCTTACTATTTAAAGAGCTTTTTTTGGAGCATTTCATACTTTGAATATTCCATAAACTCTCTTGTCCAATGTACCTAGGATATGTGGATACCAAAATTACCTCAGGGCCATTTGCTGTAATGAACTGCCGCTGGGGAGAGACATCATAAGGTCTGAGATGGTCTGCAGCAAGCGGTGAAAGGTGTGTGGTAAAGGATGAGCAGCTTCCCCGGCAATCACTATGTCTGAGAGTGGATGTTCACATACTCTTGTATCTTTCTCCTAAGGCAGAAATTGAAACAAGTTTATCAGTTTGTGTGCTGGAAGGAATCCTCTTCACAAAAGACTATTATGTATACTTAAAAAATGGTCATGTAACAGAAATACAAACAACAAAACCAAATTGTACCCAGAAAGATACAGTAATTTTAACTAATTATGCTTGTATTATTTTAGGGAAAAAAGCTGTAAGTTTAGTCACAAGCAAAATCAGCATGCAAATGAATAAATGTATCAATTCTAGTGTACTCACAAAGATACCTGTAGGGTGAATCCACATGTGTATGCATGTGTATGTGTAGTGTGTGTGCATATATATGTATGTGTATGGATATATACACATACATATATGTAGGTATGTTTTGTGTGTATGTTTATGTATAAAAAATAACATATGTTTAGAAGTTGGGGTGGTCACTAACTCATACAGCATTTTTATGTGAATTAGAAAAAAAAGCTCCTTTCTACGCAAATGGACCACAGCTAGGAAAGAGAAGTAGGGGTTGAATTTCATTTCTCATTACAACCCTCAGATGGCTCCATTAATAATATTAACTATGGAATAACTTTTTATTATTTTGAGTAGATAACACACATCATAATAAAATATTCAAGAGGTATAAAAAAATACCATAAAAAGTCTCCCTGTCTCTACAGCCCAGCCACCTAGATGCCCTCCCACTGGCAATTTCTATTACCAGTTTCTTGGACTGTCTATAAATATTGTTCATTTACACAAATGGCAGCACTGGAAACAAACTGATCTGTGTTCTTTTAACAATAATTTATCTTTGAGATTATTACTTATTAGATATGTATGTAACATATATTATCCCACTGCATAGTATTCTGATGAATAAAAATACCATAGTTTATTTCATCAGTCCACTTCAGAACAGTCATTTAGGTTGTTTCCAATCTTTTGTTTTTATATAACATTCTGCAATGAATCAACTTGTATATCTGTCTTTTCACACATGCATATATGATAAGGAGAACTTCATAAAAGTGGAATTACTGAATGATTTTTAATGTGAATTTTGATAGATCTTACCAAACCATTCTCTAAGAAGCTGCTACTCCACAGCAAAGAATGTTTGTTCTTCCATCTTGCTACCAATGTAAGCCCATCAAACTTTTTAAACTATGTCACTGAGCTAAGTAAAAGATGGTTGCTTTTTGCCTCCTTCTTTGTGCATATATTGATTACTGATATAGAAGTTCTGGTTTATATTATCTTCTACTGATATAGAAGTTCTGGTTTATATTGTCTTCTAAAGAATGTAGTTTTGTTCTTACAGGGAGATAGCAGGCCATCTAGATTCCATCAAGGCTTGGCATTCGACTTTGTTAGACTGGGGTTATTTCAGTTTTGCCCTTGATTTTAGGCACTGCCCTTACTCCTAAGGCATGGTCTGTATTCCTTGAGTATGGTCTTTCTGGGGTTTCAAGGGCATGCCAGGAGTATTCATCACGCTCACCCCACCTCTGGTTGGACTAAAACTTCAGAACCCAGCTCTGAAGCTAAGAATCTGTTCAGTTCTCAGCTTACAATTCATTTCCACTGCTAGATCCTCCAGAGAAATTGCATGCCCAGTCTAAGAGTGGCCAGGACCCTAGGGATATTTTTATGCAAAAATTTTAGACTCCCTTTCTGCAGCTCTGTACCACTAGTGCCCTGCTTCCCACATCCCAAAGTTACAGTCCTAAACTTTGATCTCTGCCAACACAACTGACGTACTCTGCTTGGGCTCTTTTCCCAATTGTGGGGCTTACCTCATGCCCTTTTCTTCTCTCAAGGATTACAGCCCTGTACTGGTCACTCCTCAGAGCCTATGAACAATTGTTTTAAATATTTTGCCCAGCTTTTTGTTACTTACTATAAGAACTAATGCTGACACTGGCTGTTTCATCGTAACTATAACTAGAACTCTGCCAAACAACAAGTTTTGAGATGTACTATTATTGCCATTCCATTTAAAATATTTTCTGTTATAATTCTTCTTTGATGCAACTCATTTGGAAGCGTTACTTAATTTCCCTATAAATATTTTTCTTGTTATTGTTTTGTTATCTAATTCTTATATACTAGCAATAAAGACTGAGGACATGGTGGGAAGAAAACCAATTATTTCAAGTTTGTTAAAACTTGCTTTATGTGTCCAGTAAACAGTCAATTTCCATAGACATTTGTGTGTATCTGAAAAGAATGTAAACAACTATATGCAATGTTTTGTATATTCTATCAAGACTGTCAATCATTCAAATCTGTGTACTTTCTGATTCTTTTTCTCTGCCTGACCTATCCAGTACTAAAAAGAGTGTTATGGTACTATACACAAAACAGCCACAAATTCTCTGTCGCTCTTTCCATCAACAGGTGGAGTTTATTTCTCAGTCTTTGAATTTGACCGGCCTTGTGAATTATACTAGCTAATGGAAGGTGGCAGAAGCATGGCATATGAGTTTAGTGTTCGCCATTTTGGCTTTGCAGCTTCTGTGCTCTCTTTCTTGAATGCTTCTGGCATCTGAACAAACCTAGGCCAGCATTCTGGAGGATAAAAGAGCTCAGGGGGTACCACTTGAAGCACACTATGTAACCAAAACAGGAAAGAGTCATTCCTCTCAGTGGAGCCTTGCTGCAATTGCCAACCCACAGACTGTCAGCAAATAAACAACTGTTTTAGTCCAGTGAGTTCTGGGGTAGTTATGCAGGAACAGATAGCTGTTACAGGTATATGACAATCTCACATTGTAACTGTAGACTGTCCTATTTTTCCTTGCAGTCTGTCAATTGTTACTTTTTTTAAGGTTACAGTATTAGGTAGATACATATCCAGGATTGATCTTTTATCATTTTGTACATCACCATGACATATCATTACTTTTTACATAGTCAATGTTTTTTAAGATATGCCCTCATATTTACACTTTCTTTTCTCTTCATTGATACTCCATGGCCATTTCTCCCAGTTTTTATTCTGGAAATGTCTTTGGTCTTGTTCTTCAAAGACCCTTCAACTGGGTTAACAAGTATTTTCTTTCAGCACGTTGAAAAAAACCAACTGACAGCCTTTTAAACAAACTCAGTATTTTAACTTGTAATGTTGCTACCAAAAATTAAGCAATTATTCTCACTGTCCCTCTTTTGAAAGCTAATATTTTTTTCTGTGGCTGCTTAAAAGATCTCTTTCTTTGTTTTTGGTGTTCAGGTGATTCACTATAATTTGTCCACCATGATTTGTATTTATTCTGCTTGGGGTTTACTGGGCTTCTTGACTCAATGGGTTGTTATCTGTAATCAATTCTGGGAAATTCTCAAGTATTAACTCTTAAACACTGTCTCTCTTCCATTCTGTCTTCTCCTTCTGAAACTCCAAGTAGGTAAGTTGTACATCATTTTGCCCTTCATTGCTCTTAGCAACTTGTATTTTTTATTTACTTTTTCTGTGTTGAAGTCTAGATAATTTCTACAGGTCTCTTATATTTAACCAATTTGTTTGCTGACATGCTATAAAATGTCCAACTGATTGTTTTTTAAATATCAATTATACTTAGATTAATTTTTACGTATTTTCTTTAGTTCTTTATCGAATCCATCATTCTCTTATATTTAGCCAATTTTTTCACTGACATGCTATAAAATCTCAAAACTAAAAATATCAATTATACTTAGATTAGTATTTATGTTTTCTTTAGTTCTTTATCAAATTCATCACTTCATATTTCTTCTTACAATTTCTTCTCATATTTTAAAGTTTCTCTTTTATTTCTTTAAGCATATTAACACATTATTCTACATTTACATAGATAATTACAACCATTGTTGAGGGTCTATTTCTACTGTCTATTGTTTTTGTTAGTTCTTGCTCATGGTGTCTTGTTTGTGAGTTTTAAGAATTTGACTATGATAATGTTGCTTGATATCCTTGGAAATTAACCTAAAATGCCATTCACATAATTTCAGAGTGACTGGGAATAAGATAAATGTCACCTAGATTACTTTCATTTTACAGACATGGAAACCGAGGCCTACAAGTCATACAACTACAATAGGGTAGAAATGAGGCTGAACTCAGGCTCCTAGTGCCCTAATTCAATGCTCTCTCCATTATACAGGCTGCCTTCTATAAAATCCAGGTCTCATTATTAATACTTTGCCCATAGCACTAAAATATTCTTTTTGCTTTCAAGTTAGATCTGCGAATGATTTCATGCAAATTATTGGACTATTTGAAGGTATACTACCAGTTTCTATAAAAATATGCACAATCAAAACAAAAATTTCATTTACTTGTTCTGAATTTTCTTTGCTTGTTTTATTTTCTTCATCCTCTTCTTCCTCTGGTTCCACTGGTGCAGGAGTCAGTGATGCCACAAAATGCCACAGAATATCATGGAGAGAAGTGGTTTGGATGACATTACACAGAAGCCAGTTGAAAGCCTGAAGAAATGACGGTTAAATGAGTTCAAGAATAAAATACATGAGTTTAAAAAGTACTCAGAAATAAAGTACCTCCATGGATTAAGACTTCAAAGAAAGATACTAGAAAATCTTTTTTAATTAAAAAAAATGCCTTATAGTTTTACTATTTGTTTTTCTTTTTAAGAGACAGTGTCTCGCTCTGTCACCCAGGTTGGAGTACAGTGGTGTGATCATGGCTCACTGCAGCCTCAAGCACCCAGGCACAAATGATCCTCCCACCTCAGCCTCCCAAGTAGCTGGGACTACAGGTGTGTACCACCACACCCAGCTGATTTTAAAACTTTTTTTTTGTAGAAATGAGGTCTCACATGTTGCCCACGCTGGTCTCAAACTCTTGCGCTCAAGTGATCCTCCCTCCTCCGCCTCCCAAAGTGCTAGGATTACAAGCATGGGCTACTATGCTTGGCACCTTGAAAATCTGACCTTTATTTCACTGAAAGCACACGGAACTTGAAACAGTTAATAATTTGGGGTTTTAATTTAAAAAAAACAGGAAAAATAATTTATAAGATACAATACCAAAATATTTTTTCAAATCACATTTTACTTTGAAAATTCATTTTAATATTAATTTATTCAAGCACATTTTTTCCAACTTGCATCTGGATGAACACAAAGTGTATCTCAAGCTCTAGGCAAGCAACCATTTACTTAAATATATTCATATAATTCCCATCCATGAAGTGGTAGGTTATTTATCACATTTGATAAAAACACAGATTTACTATATATAGGCCTGTAATATACAGTAATCCTATTATTTCCAGAGACCAAAGGCCCAGAGAAGTTATTACTGGTCAACTTACCACTCAAAAGCCCTACTCCTTATCTTCTTTCCATGATTACTCTGTCATTTCATTCTAATAAAATGACATTCTGAGTATAAAAAGCTTTTAAAAAAAAGATAATCTCAAGATTCAAATAGTAAAGCAATACAGAAATAAATTTCTTTAGGGTGCTTAAATATGAAATTCTAAATTCATTTATATTCATAAACTTTAGAGTCTGATTTTTATAGGAACACTTAATACTTTTAATTGGCTAATGCCTTTTAATTTCACACAATTTCTGTTGGTAAAAAAGTGGCATCGTGAAATAGAATCATCACATGATTTGTATAATCAATGAATCAGTAATTTCATTAATGTCTTCATACCTCCATAGCAAAAACTCGACAAGCAGATTTCCTTAGGGCCTGTTTCATTGCTATTTCAAGACCTTCTAGATCATGATGTTGTATAACAAAAGCTAAAACTGGCCACTGGAAATTTCGTTCTCCTTTAGAAAGAGAGCTGTGGGCTGAGATTAGCCGAGAAAGCTCAGGAGACGGATGTCTCAAAAGGGAAGAACCAACTTCTATTAAAGAAAAAGAAAATTATTAATTTTCATAGGCAGTGCATATATATTTAAGATAATAATATCTAATATATTCACTTAAAGCCTTTGTCATTGGTTTTTTGAACATGACACAAATCATAACAATTTCAACTTTTACTGAGGAAACCAAGGTTCAGAAAGATTAAATATGTTACTCTCTGAAAGTCATATAGCTATTAAGTTGTAGAGGTGGGTTTTGAATCAGAGCTGAATCTAAAGTTCACCTTTTCTAAAACACTCTAAAAGCTAAGTGATTTATATTTTCTCTAAATGAAATCTACATCTCATCTGCATCATTTTCTAAAAGATGGCTTTATAAGAAACATTTCTTAACAGGAGGTCAAAAATATTTGTTGAATGAACCTATAAATTGCTGGACAATCTTCAATAATGTTTTTCTTAAAAGTCTTCAGTAAGATAACTTAATCATCTGACTATAATTTTTAGGCCAAATCTTCATTTTAGCAAGTGATCTCTCTGATAATTGATCACTATATTACCCTGTTCTTCTTGGGTTTTTAAAATTATTCTTGAGGTAGAATCCCCAGCTCCAATTTGGGGCTGTTGATACCAACTGGTCCAGATCATGTAACTGTTTTTTTTTTTTTTTTAAATCGATTAAGGGCTATTTATATCCCCAAAGTTTTATTATCTACTTAGAATGATGGCAGCTCCAAGAGTTATCAAGCTTCAGTTGGGGTGGAGAGATAACTGTGAATGTGTACGTCATTGGAACTCCTGGTCCACAAAAGTTTAGTGGAAGGGATAATGGTTGTAACATTTGGCTTAGATACCTAACAAGTAAGATTGTAAAGGTCAATTTATTCTCGAACAATCACTGAATGATCTCCAGATTTCCCTTCAACTAAGATGCAAAATTTAGAGATGCACATTTATAGCTATGTCATATAGAAGGAATGTCAATCACACATTAGAAATTATCCCATGCCTTTTCCTTCAAAAATTAAATTTTAAAAATTATATGCAAATAAAACAATTTTTTTATTTGTAGTAGTCAGATCACTCAATATTCTTTTTTATCCTCATACTTACCAGTGTCTCCACTGTTAACTCTTCTTCTAGGAATAGCTTTAACTCGTGCAGGTAAAATGGAGTGTTGTTTATCATATTCGGAAGCAACAACTGAGTATGATCTTTGGAAGACAGTTCTCTTTGCAAGATCAGTATCAGTTATGGGACTGGTTTCTAAACTGTACATGGAACAATGCAACAGATACAAACTCAGAAGAGCTGAATGAAATGTAACTATACTTATAATGATGCAAAATATGTGACTCAATATTTCATGTGGAGAAACAAAATCAAAGCCAAATTGATAATCTCTCTTTAAATCATAATTTGATCTTTTCAAATGCAGTAACATTTTGACTGATTTCAGCATTGTACCTTAAAACTTATGGTTTTCTTAAATCTACTTTGTATTTTAAATGAAAAAGAAGAAAGGTTTCCAAGCTCCTTTTAGAATCAAAAGCACTGGGGTGGAATTCATGTATCATAATATTCAGGAAAAACAGTCAGATATAATCGTAAGTGCACCAAATAGAAAGAAAATGGATATGTACACATGAAAACCTAATAAAACAGGAAGCAAAATTTGGTTCCAAAGTTTTCTTTTGGTGTCTTCAGTGTTCTGTGAGGTTTCTCACTCTTGGGAAATGTTGCCCAAAGCCCTTGGAGGATGGCTGCATCAAGGTGTCATGAGAGGTAACAAACTGATTTTTGGCACCAGTGTTGTATTTACACTCTATAAAAGAACTTAATGGTTTTATTCAGGCTTAAGTAAACTAACAGCTTTTCTATTTATTAAAGCAACATTTAAAAATACTTACAAAGTTATTAAGAGAGCTATACAATTTCCTTTATTGACACATTTTATAAAAAAAGAGAAATCCCTTCTCTTTCTTATTTCTCTAAAACAAATTTAGAAACTATTCTTTTCGTGAGCTCCTTTTTCTGTCACCTGAATTCAAATTGGAATATTTTTGCTCACCGTTGGTTCTGGAGTTTTTTCCATCATTCAAGCCAGGTTTGAAATCCTGTGTCCCTTGGTAAAATTATCTATTTTCTAATAGACGGCTAACTGCCTAGGTGTTTTCTTTACTCACCACTTCTCTAAGCTTATGTACATTCTTGTTTGAATAGACTATAAATACTGTACATAACTGATTGGCAGTAAATGTCCCTGGGTGTTAGTATAGGTTGCTTGGTTCCAGAATGACTAGAATACAGGGAAACATTAACTTAATTCACTTTATATATGGTGTTACTATAAAGCACAGACATTTGTTCTGTTTTCAGAGGAAGTTTTCTACTAACTTAAAAAAAATTACACAAATTTAAAAAGTGACTTTTTACCAAAAAAAAAAAAAAATTGCTTGTGAAAGAATTCAAGCAACACAAGAAAATCCAAAGAAGAAAGCAAAGATGACATCTTTAATTGAATGGCTACCCTGAGCCAGGTAATTCCTTGTTAGGCTGTCTTGCCTCCTGTAGGATGGTTAGCAACATCCCTGGCCTCAACTCACTAGGATGCCCACTCAACTAGCCCAGTTGTGACAAAGTTATTTCCAAATATTTCCAGATGTCAACAGAGAGGCAAATATCACCCTCAATTGAGAACCACTGATTTAATGAATTCATTTATTCATCAACTTTTTTTTTTTAAATAGAAGGGGTCTTGCTCTGTCACCTAGGCTGAAGTGCAGTGACACAATCGTAGCTCACTGTAACCTCAAAATCCTAGGCTGAAGCCATCCTCTTGCCTCAGCCTCCTGGATTTTGATCCTAAGGGGTAATAGTAACCCAATGAGAATCACACTTGTCAGACTAGCCTCAAAACAGTTTCTAACTCTTTTAAAAAGTGTATCTCCTTTAGAAATACTTTATCACTTTTAAAGATATAAAAGGTTGCACTGCACTCTGGAGAAAATGTCAAGAGCAGCTTCAAAGAAATTCTGACGAGTAATCCACACAGTTGGGGAGGGGAGAAGTTGCATGTATTTTTAATGAAAAAAAAAAAAAACCTCATTTGGATATATATGTCCCATTGCGCTCATTAAAGTATTTATTATATTAGTTTATAATTATAGTTGTATAGTAGTAACACAGTGGCATGCTCTTTTAATAAGCACATTCTCTTTTCATTCAGCAAATGTCTTCCTTTCCAATGATACCATGTTCACAGTTATTCGTGACTGAAATCTTCATGTCATCTTAAACTTATCTTTTTCATTATCCAGTTAGTCAACAAGTCACACTTATTTTTCCTACAAAATATATCTCTTTAATCCATATGTCAGCTTCTCAATTGTCACTGTGAGACTACCTTTGCATTTTTATCACATCATTCGTCCTCTAAAAAAGTTTCAGTGGTACTCTATTTTTTTTTTTCCTCAAGCTGGAGTTCAGTGGTGCAATCTCAGCTCACTGCAACCTCTGCCTCCCAGGTTCAAGTAATTCTCCTGCCTCAGCCTCCCGAGTAGCTGGGATTACAGGTGTGTGTCACCATGCTCGGCTAATTTTTTGTATTTTTAGTAAAGACAGGGTTTCACCATGTTGGTCAGGCTGGTCTCAAACTCCTGACCTCAGGTGATCCACCCGCCTTGGCCTCCCAAAGTGCTGGGATTACAGGTGTGAGCCACAGCGCCTGGCCTCTATTTTCTTGTGTATTACATTATTGTAACAAGTTTCTATTCAGCTTTCCGAGAAGCTCTTTACTCTGATACTACCATACCTAAGTTAGGAGGCACTGTAAACAATAATCCAAGAAGTTTAAGATTTATTTTCAATGCCACTGCTCCCATGAAAACTCAAAGTAACCCTTCCCTACTCTGATTTACTACAGCATTAAGTAATGTCATATAATGTAATCTTTAATTCCTTCACTAGTTGATCTCTTCTCTCCAACTAGTCTGCCTCTCCCATCAAGGACCTTACCTTAGTCATACATGTATGCTTTTTCTTACTGCTCCAGCAGTTAGCAAAACTGGCTCACAGATGTATTAAAGAACTTCTACAGGACTCTTTTCTAGTTCAAAGTCTTTCTTCCACCAAACACTAGCTATTCAACAGACAGGAGAGAACTAAAATACCTTGGTGGCATAGACTTCATATTGCTCTCTGGCTCTTCAAATACATTAGGACTTGCATCAGGAGTTACTGATATATACGGGGCAGGTACAGATGTTGAACGTAGATATCTCATTTCATCCTGGAATAGATTGTCATCTTGATAGCCCACAAAATTTTCATGATGATGCCTGCATTAAATCAAACCCAATAACTTAAAGCATGATGGCAATACAGATCCTCTCCATTTTTAATCTCTTTCATAACAGGAAAAGCAGCACATGTAAATCATAGTTAAAGGCAAAGCATTAAAATAATCGTAGATGTAGGTAGGTGAAAATAAAAGTCTGATAATTTTATTCATCAACATTCCAGGTACCACGAACATTTCAAATCCAAAATTGAACTCAGTTTCTTTCCTTTTGAGAACTTTTCCATCTTCCAGTGTTTTGGTGAATAAGCCCACCAACCATCCAGTTGCTTAAGCTAAAATATTTCCAGTGTTGTAGTAGGCTTAGCCCTCTATCATCATCATCTTTCAAGCCCATGATATTAGGTTTCCTCTCAGAGCCATTCTCTCTTCTCATTCCCTATCATCACTGCCTTGGTTCATGCTTATTATTTCTTGCACAGACCACTGAAATACAAGCAGTTACTTTTTTGGGTAGGAACATACATAAGATCATATTTGAAAAATATTAGATATATGAAATTTTCTGTGGTTCAGGGTGGAAGGGGTGCCCATTCCCCAGACAGCTAAAAAGAAAAAAATCTATAATTATGCTGTGTTAGCATTTTTCACGTTTTACAATTTGATTCTTTCCTTTTCAAAATGAACAAATAGTTGCTAACCTAAGTCCACTGAGTGGTGTGATTCACACTAAAGATCTATTGTATTTTGGCATACTGATGATTTCCACCTCAGTCTCAAATGTACTTAGTCTGATATTTTCATTTTTGTTGCTTATTCATTTTATTGTAATAGTAAGCACAAAATTTTAAAAACCATACAACTCTGCTACACAAAGAGGACAATTTCCAAAATGGAACTGTTGGTCGGCAAGCCATGTCAGTGGGCAATATCTAGATTACCTTCATTTGTCAGCTGATGAAAAAAATTTGGTTTTGGTATATGAAAGGCTCTTTTGGAGTGTCAGTGCATGATGTGTGAAAGTACAGGCTGCACCACTGAGGTCCAATATATGAAAACAGAATACTAACAGGTTTCTATCTCCAGTAATGCACTTTTATCTAGTCTCCACATTAGCTTCCACATTCCACAGTGATTTTTTAATTGCAAACCAGTTCATGTATTTCTCTGTTTAAAATTCTTCCACTGTTTCCTCTGCTCATGGGATAAAATGCAATCTTAACCTGGGCTACAGAGCCCGACATTACTTGGGTGAACCAATCACTTTGAACGGGCTTTCACATATTTCCTCCAGTAGCCAGTCCTTTAACAACCCGTGATTCCTGAAATGTGTAATGAGATTTCATTTGTGTCTTTACTCACCTGGGTTATTCTTCCAAGAGTCGCTTTCTTCCTGTCGCTTGCCTGACAGATTTCTATTTATCCTTTGAGACTCTACTAAAGGCTCAGACCCTCTGGGAAGCCTTTTCTGATTTCCTGGGGAAGATTCAGATACTCTCCATCTTTTATGCTCTAACAGCATCTTACATACATACTTCTATTGTAGCACTCCTCACATGGCATTTCAAATGTTTCACTAACATGTCTGACTTGACATCCGAGTATGAGTACATAGAAGCCAGGATTTTGTTATATTCATACATTCAGGGCCTAGCACAAGGCTGGTAGGTGCCCAGTTGGTATTCATTTAAATGCTAACAGAATGAATAATTTACGAAATAAAAGACTGCTAAGGAAACACACTTTCTTTACACTTCAGCATTTCGCACTAACAGAGTGAAGTCAGCCTACCAAAGAGTAAAAGATAGCTATAGTCTTATTTTCTAAGACATGTTGTGTATTAATACAATGCAAATTGATGAAGCATTTTTATAGTTTTTTAAATACCTATTACCATAAAGTCATTATGTCAGTCAAGGCAACTCAAAAAATAAATGCCTGGAAGTTTGTTTATAGTACACAATAGCTAATAAAGTGTAGGTCAAATACCGAACTACCCTAGATATCAATAAACAATCGCTGTTAATCCAAAGGTGATTAAAAAACAACAGCAAAATTTTATTACCTAGCTAATGTCTGCAGGTAGAGACAAGGCATTTTCACAGGAAGATCCTCAGAAATGCCTTCTTTTACACTGGGCAACTGAGATTGGAATGGCTTTGCAGGATGGTAACACAGAATGCTCGGTTCTGCTGCACTGCTCAGGGACAGCAGGAAGAGTGCATTGGCTTTAATCACCTGGTGAGCTTCCATGGTGGGCAAGGCACGAGGGGTCTTGACTTGCATTGGTTTTCTCCTAGATTGTTTGACCTGGCGAAGAAAAAAATCAAACTAATCTTTTCTGACTTACATTAAAATCCTTAGTTTCTTAAGCTAAGTATTTTGAGTTTCCAATAAAAATTATTAAACACTTGTAAAGCTATTTTAAGATAATAAGATTATAAAAAACAACATTCATTTCATATTCATCCTGGGCTGACCAAGACAATTTTGTATCAAACACAAACTATACTTCCTTTCCTTCTTCAGAAAAATTTAACACCTAACTAGTTAAATCTAAATGTAATTCATTTTTTTAAAAAGTAAATCATTTCAGTGCGTGTATTCAGTGAAATTTTTTAGTTAGGTGCCACTAGAGTGAATAAAGAAAAGAGAGAGTAGATATGGAATAGGAAAACAAAGGAGCCAAAAAAAGAGGAAAAGAGAAAGAAGGTGAAAAGGAAAGCTCTCCATAGAGAGAATAACAGACAATTAATAATAAAGAGTTACACAACAAATATTTGTCAATAAGGCATATGTAGCAGAGGTTATCTAGTGTTATTCCAATATATAGTTAATTTTTAAAATTAAAAGCATTTGACTTAGTACAAATATTAAATTTGTATATGATTTCCATTATAAAAGCTGATCTTTTAATATCAACTATGTGGAATTATCTGATGTAGTAAGATTATAACAAGGTATTTTTATACAGTGTATCCATATCATTAAAAGTATAGCTCCAAATGGAATAAAATACCTTCTCCCTTGCAGCAGCCTGTTTTTCGCGGAGGTATTTTTCTCTACAGCGATCACATACCAGATACCAAGTGCTTCCTCCTATGCCACCATCACCACAGTTACCAGCCCATCCTCCACAAAAATGCCCAATGCTATTGTAACCTTGTCCACCAGCATATCGGCCACAACCTTGAAACAATACCAAAAATAAATATTTAACACTCCAAGTGTCCTTAATAGTTTGATCCTTATTACTCATACATTAATGACAGATTTACCTTCTCAAAGAAAGCAAAATACTGAAGTAGATATCTTATTTTTCAGGCTATTAACTATATCAGAAAAATAGCTTACTTGATCAAAAAGCAATCAATTAAATGATGCCCCAAATATGAGAGATACTTAGTTTCTAATCAGGCATATTAAAAGAGAGATAGAATATAGGTATATTTAGATATACTTAATTATGTCAATAAAATTAGACAATACAAGTATAAAAGTTCTATAACAATGATATATTTTCAGAAATCACATATTCATAAGACATTTGAGGTATAATATGTAGACAAAGAAAAAAATTAACCAAATTTGTATTAGGTGAATTTGGAATATTAGTCAATGTTACAGAAATCATTACATTTACTGAAAATGCAGTCTTCTGATAAAACAATATCACTTCCGTAGGAAAAAGCCTATAGAAATCAATCTAATCTAATTTAATTTGCAATTCTGAACAGGAAAATAGTAAAATCAAAGGAGATGCCCTGTGTGTATGGGCATGCCACTGTTTCTGCTGTGTGAGACAGACACATTAATGGCACACCCTTTGGGTAACACATAATATTTTTTAAAACATGCTACATGAAAGTGAAATAGCACTAAATGACCTGGCCATCATAATATTAGAATTTATCTGTTTTTCACAAAACCCTGTACTGATAATGTACTTTAAAAATGACATTCTAAGATACTATAAATTCCCTATCCTTTGACAAAATTCATAGAACAGCTCAAATAAAGTGATCTGGTTCATTAAAGAAAAAAGCACTTATACGTACATTCAACAGTATCATTTACCTGGGTGAGCTTGTCTCATGTGATAGGTCACCGGGTATGGATGTGACTCCCCACACAGTTCACAGATGGTATCTTTCTCTGGTCCTCCTACTGCCAGCTGGGCCATCTCTCCAAACAAATTACCCCTGGGCCTAACTTCTGCCTTTTCTTTTTTCTTTTTTTCCTTTTTGGACTTCTTATTCTCTTTCTCACACTCTTTCTTTTTAAGAACTGCACAGGAACCAGGACTTGGAAAAATCATATTCTGGGAAGCAGCTTTGATAGTAGCCAAAGAGATGTCTTCCCAAAAAGCCACTAAATGTTGTAAAGTTAAGGGAAGAGGAGACTTAGACTTCATTGTGTTATGCATGGACATTTCAAAAGTGGTCTCGGTTTTCCCATCCTCACATTTTTCATGCAGAGGTGGTTCCTTAAGCATAGACAATACCTTGTTTTTGTTGATGCTACCCATCTTAGATATATCTGGTCCATGGGGTGCAATATTAAACATATTCAGTGCAGATGATATTTCTAATGAATGTCTATTTTTTAACTTGGTTTCTTTTTCCTCTGTAGGTTGTTGGCTATTTAAACTACTCCTTATAGGAGCATGTTCTTTGGAAAGTTCAGGATGAAACTTTAGGAAAGAAGAACAAGCCATTGCATCATGTACTATGCCTTCATGCCAGAGGAAGGAAGCAAACACAGCTCTGGCACATTCGGCCACAGAAGGAGACATGGCTTGCTTGGCTGGCTCTAAAGGCTTGGATCCATCTCCTTTGAAAAGAAAACTCGATTTTTCTTTTTTGGGCCTGGTGTGTCTATTAGCACATTTTCGACTTATTTTGGGAGATGCTCTCATTTCCTGTTCATCTTTCAGTGGTGCTTTTCCAATGCTAAAATGAACTTTATTTGAACCTTCATCCACACTCTTAAATTCACTGCTGTCATCGCAGGTGCTGTCTGTTAGACTATTTGTTTTTAAAGTACTTGAGGTGCAGACTTCGACCACCTCACTGTGGAGGTTTTCCTGTACCACATGGGGAGAGGGAGCTCTATTTTCAGATCCAGGGGAATCTGTAGAATCCTTTGGTACTGATTTTGGTTTTGGTGACGTTGACCGTCCTCTCAAAGGTTCTGTGAGGGGCATTTTCTTCTTGCGGAGGGTATCTGGATCAAGTGTGTAAGAGTCTGATTTAGAACGTTCCCGAGGAGGATCAAGCTTTGTCTTAACAGGAGCAGTACTTTTTTGAGGTAGATTTTTATCATGTGGTGAGGAGGAGCGTGGAGAACTAGCACCCGATGGGCTAGACCTATTGGCTGGGAGAGTCTTTGGCTTAGGAGATGACAACCGAGAACCTGGTCCTGGGGATTCAGCTCTGGAGCTAGAAGGCATCCTCCCATCAGATTTCAATGTCTGCAAGGTGTTATGGTTGGGGGATAATGACCTACTGTGGGAATCTGACCTCAACTTTGCAGCATCAGATTTTAAGATGAGGGATTCACTAGCAGATAAACTTTCTGTGCCCCTTGGCTTCTTCTGATCAGCAGTAGTCCGGCTCATACGTCCATCAGGTTTAAGCGATCTGCTGTGTTTAGAGGACAGCTCTGATTTTCCTGATGTAGAGGCTGGTTTAGAAGATGTTGAGATGTTTCCTCGATCACCTGTATGGTCCATTTTACAGTGAAACTTATTAATAAAATTATAACTTACTGATAATTTAGCCACTAAACACTGAAATAAAAAAACATAGCTACAAAATTTATATTGTTTGTCATACATACTAAAATACTTGAAGAATAAAGGAAAGAAGGGGGAAATATTTCTAATAAAATTTCTACACATCATTACACAACATTACCACCAAAAACTATTTTCATGGACGCAAAACAACAGGTTGAACAAATCCAGTGTGAACTATCAGTGATATCTCAACCTCTGCCCTAGTGCAATAACTAGTTAGAATTTAAATTCAGTGAGGGACTAGAAAGAGACAGAAATTAATCTTTTGGGGAATAAGAAATTATTTAATGTGAAAACTTGTATTTTAAATGTAGAGTAGAGCTAAATTTCCAGCAGAGTGATACCTCGCATCCTTAGGGCAACGGTATGGGTTTTGTTGAATTAGAGAACTGAATTTATGCATAGACACAATTATAATTTTTAAGTGTATGCATACAATTAGGCTAACAAAGAGTTGCTTAAGAGGCACTCTGTTTTATGATCAGATTAGACTAGTTTACAATGAGCACATGAATGCCCTGAAGCTGTTATTTAATTATTTATAAACAGGTTACACTCCAAAAGTTCAGGAAGCTTAGCTGCTTAGAACTCAGAGCCTGTGTTCCCTTGGAAACCACAGAAACGGTGGATCCTCAGAATGAGTGGTAAAAGTCTGAACTGTGGACCCTCAAAACAAGGAGTCAGGAGAATGACAGAAAAACAGGATGAAAAGAAGAATCACCTCCCTTTTCTAAGGCAAAGCATTAGATGTTTCTGCATGGACATTAATTGTTTTTAGCACCCTGCCTTCATTCAGTGTCTCTCCTTCATTCTATTTTATGCTTTTCTTTGAGGCATTAGAGCCAGGCTGTCTGTGACCCAAGTAAATGGTACAAACTTCAACATCACCTTTCCTCCTTAAAATAAAAACTTCTACTCTTAGTGCAAGTGATACCAGTTAGTTGTTAGGAGAAAAGCAATCTGACTGAAGGGTTTCAAGTGGTATAAAAAACTGAAAATCCATAAACCTATCTGGAAGTATTTATATTTTTTCAAAGACAGTTCCTAGGAAATTAAGGTAGATTTGTTAACTGGCTATAACTGCATGTTATTATTTTTTAAAAGAAAAAAGGATGTGAACAAATTCAGATGATGTAGGAAAATGTTTTTTATGCTTCCGTGCATGTGTTAAGTGTGTATAGTCACGCTCTATTTCTCTATGGCTCAGGACAGTAGTGCTGGAGAATCTGCCCCAGTCTTTGTCAAGGGCAGGTATTTTTGTCTGTTACTCTTCACTGATGTAATACCAAGAATGAATCCAGGAATACAGTAGGTATTCAATAAATATGTGTTGAATGAGTAATATATTCCAATTTTCTTGATTTTTTTCTTCTGCTACTCCCAAGTATTCAGCTTCTCCAGAAGTCTACTTTTTACAATTAAGGCTCCCAAGGCCACAGGACAGAGGTGACATTAGTTATTGATGTGCAAGGGTTAGATGCTTGCAAACTGAGTAATTACATGGTGAAATAATAGAGTATGGCAAGTACTTTATACAGGGCACACTGATGAACTAAATGTTTAATTGCAACATGCCAATATTTAAGATAATTTTTCCTGTTCTTTGGATGAATAAAAGTAACTAAAACATAATGCTTTTTAGTTTCTTGCAAAGCTTCATTATTCAATCATTAACCTCCTTTATCATATTATGTGCTCTGTTTTATAAATACAGTATTAACAGATGGGGCTAAGTTTTGAAAAAAGGGTTAAAAAAATCCCAATTTAGAATTCTAACTATCAATGCTGTCTTGGGAGAGCACAGATAAACAGATGTGATCTATGAATAAGTACCCTTAAACTGTTCAAAAGTAGTTCAAAAAATTGCTACCCATCTAATCTTACTGACCTAGTAACAGCATATGGCAAATTTGGTAAACAAATTATATTTGGTAGATTAAATCAGTAGTCATGGCCATTAATTTTGAGTATGTGATGTTTGGAATACTTGTTTTTTGTTATTAATCTGACAGCTGGAGACATGTTTATCACCTTTATCATCACATTTATTTCAGAAACTGAACCACACATAATGGGAATCTAGACAAACAATTAGTAAGTCTTTTATATTTGGTATCCCTTTCTCCAAAAAATCCATCTGTAAACTGAAAGAGGTTTTCTCTCTAATTTATAAAAAAGGACAACTTGTGTAGGATTTCTAACAAATAGGAAGGGTTCGTGACAAAGATTACCTACTCCCTGTGTCAGATGTGTCTTAGTGGTTGACCTGCACAACAGCTGCATGCAAAGGAATGGTGAATACCTGCTGATGCTACCTCTATTCTAGGAATGCATATGAACTTACAATGGTAGGTTATTTACTCATCATGAAAACAACCTCTGTGGTTGCCTGAAAAATGGAATCTGCCAAATACCAGGAACACCACTTGTCATATGTGAGCAAAAAAGTTTATTACATAGTGTTAGAAAGAATAGGCATTTGTATATCTTATTATATCTCTAATAGTGGTGAATATTTTCTTAAGATCTGTAAGTGGTGACAGCTAAATACCTGTTGAAGTTTAGGCATACAAATAATGGCAGAAATATTTCTTTTTCAGATGTATTTCTCAAATGATAACTAAATCTTTTTGAAAAATTTATTTTTCCAAAACGTATTTTATATATTAAAAAAAACTATGCTTGTTAAGTGGGGTAAGCCCCTGTGCTAATTTATGTTTATCTGCTTCATTTGTGTTTCAAATGTTTTGCAGCATGTTATTAAATATTACTAAAAATTGTATGTTGTGGCTGCTCAAAATACCAACAAATATAAACAGTTTGCTAAAAATCTTCAGACTATACGTAATACTTTCACATTCATCTCCTAATTTATTTAATGACTGTACTTTTACATTTAAATGATAATATGCAAACATTTTTCTAACTTTAAAGGAAACCTGAAGAAATAATAATGACAGGATAGAAACTTAGGGCAAGCAAGTTAAATGTTACTAAACATGTTAAATGGTAAGCATTCATTCACTAAATGACCCATACATTTTTTCATGCCCAAATCTTAAATTATCAGGATCATACTATATCATAATACTATATGCATATATCACATGGCATGATATATAGCATATATCAGGTTACATGATACTATATGCTATTACACACAATACTATATACTATATAGCACAGGTTGTACAATACTATTTAGTATATTTTTATATTTCCTATTTATATGTTTATACTGTCAATTGTATAATGAGAAACATATAGCTGTTTTATCTATTTCTAAGAAAAAAAGAAAATCAGTAATTAGTTGAAAAACTTATACAATATGTTAGGCATTGCTGTAAAAGTTCTTTTTGATAAAATTTTATTTAAATACAAGATTTTAAAAGATTTACAAGATTTAAATTTAATTAAATAATACTTTAAGACAAAATATTTAAGTAGGCATCTGTAGTGTTTCAAAAAACCAAAAACATATTTTTAAATTGTCTGAAATTTTGTCAATTGTCAATAGTTTAAACATTTCTAAGTTTAAAATATTAAAACTTAGTCACTAGGAAAACAATATTAGAAAAATTTATGCCAGATAGGACAGGTAGGTTTACATATAAATATAAATAGACACATGAGTCCTAATAACTAATTTAAACTTAAAAACTTTAAGTTCATTATCAGTGTTTCTCATAAAAGACTAAAATAGTAAAATGATTTTTATATTATATAACAATAAGTTTAAGACTAAAAAATGTGCTTTATGCCTTGCACATATATCATCTTTTTCTGATAAAAATGATTTCAAAAATTCCCCCAATTAGGTAATTCTTTCCTTATACCTATTTTAATTTTAATGATCTCATAAAGTTTTAAAATTAAGTAAGAGTAATGTTTAACCTATAGATGTAATAAACATGCATAGCTACTGGGATAATCTATATTATAATACTGAATAGGAGCATCATAAATTACTCAAACATATATAAATGTAAATAAAATGATAAACTTTAATTAAAAAAATGGAATGGCATGAACATGACTGAGACGAACGGAAACATCTTTAATGACACTCCTTATGTTCATTAAGAATGGCCCATCCATGAATGCATGTATACCCACCCTTCAGTTTGTGAGACAGAGATGAGAGAGCAGAGGCAGGCCCAGCTACACCATAATTTTTGTAAATGCGCTCACGAGAAGCAAGGTTGCGAGATGGAGATTCTACAGTGGAAAACATTGGCAAAGAAGCAGCACAGATTCAATGGAAAAAAAATTTAGCAGAGAACACAAGCAAAAACAAAGCATTTCAAATGGTATGCAAGTATAAACTGTTATTTTAAATAGTTTATATTCTGCTATATTTTTGAACAAGTTTACATTTCTCTAAAACTGAAAACAAAGGTCGAATTAATTAATTTAGATTAATATGTGTTAAGGTCCAAATTTGTTAACTTAAAACTTAGTAAGGCTTATATCTCTGATAAATCAAAATTGAGCATTTCATTTTAGACTTACATTTCTTTGGCTCAGTTTTCTTTAATTTGGTGTTCATTTAAATAAAGATTTACAAGTTTTTTTTTAATAGTGGAAGATAAAGAAATGTTACTTATATTACTTATATTACTCATGGCTTAACCTATTGTCACTTGGTTTCCTGAATGAACCGATTACTATAATTTTCCAGTATGTATCTCAGAATGGACTCGGGGTGACACTGTGTTTGGCTACTTTTCTGGGTCCATCTTCAGTGAAAACGTTAGTACTAACCCCAGTATTTAGTGTTTGTTTTGTAGATCCTACTTCTGATATCAAATCTCATTTACACAACGTGTCACAACACAAACAAAGCAAAGAAAATTTATAAGTTATTGAAAAAATGTTAGGAACGTCAATGATTTACTATGCAGGAAAATGAAGCACTTAATTTATCTTTTTTTGAAGAATTAACAGAACCTTTAAATTGCAGTCTTTTAAAAGCAGTAAGCTAAAAAACATCTCTATCTGAATTTAAAAAAACTCACTGTATTTAAAGTTTTTAACTCATAGCAATTAAAATTAATCGGTTGTGCTGAAATAAATTCAGGTAGTAAGGAGATAGTTGTCTTAGTATTATTGAAATAAACTAGACATAACACACACTTTTCTTAAAAAAAGTGCTGTTTTCGGCTGATTCATTATTATGATCAAGATTAATGATGAATGACCCATAAATTAAGAAATCATTCAATGTAAAGTATGAGTATATATTACGTGTTAGATACTGTTCTATGCATTGCAGACACAGTGGTGAACAGGAACAAAGTCCCTATTCTCACAGAGTTTATATTTAGGAGAAAGGAGAGAGGGAATGAACAAATAAGTATACATCACATCAGGTGCTGAGAAACTTGGGAGTCATATGCCTACAGATGTGTCATTCTCCATGACTGCAGAATACCACTTTGGGAGTGACGCCTAGAAGAGGCCAAAGCCCTAGGACATTTCTAGATGACCAAATAGATGAGGATGTAGAAAGGAGACTAGAATTCAGCAGCCAGTAAGGCAGGAAATATCCGGCAGGCAAATGAATGTGTTTCTAGGAAGAAAGACCAACTCTGTCAAATACTGCTGACAGATTAAGTAAAACTGACACCTTAGAACCGACAACTGAATTTGGCAACACAAAAGTCACAGACTGACTACAGCAGTTTCCGAGGATAGGGACTAAAGCTGGAATGCAGTGGGCTCAAGAGACAATGGGAGGAGTAGATAGCAACATACCATGGCATAAAGCCATCTTAATCTAAGTTTTAAAAAGTTAAATTTTTAATATTTTTGTACATCCTTCATTTTGAACAAATCTATAAACCTCAAAAGATGTCAGGTGCTGCAAAAGGAGCTCTTATGCTATTTAAGTGTCATATAATAAGGAGTTTGCAGCTATTGTTAAAATATCAGTTAGGAGGGTGATACAATTCTTCAAGACACGAACTAGAACGGTGGCAGCCTCTGAATGGAAGAGTTAATTCAGGGGGAATCCAACCTGCCAATATAGGAAGGAATACAATCTCCTGGCCTGGCTGCTAAAAATCTGTGAAGACTCCACATAGCAGGAAGACACAGGAATAGGAAATCAGAAGAATACCATCTTAATTGGAAGCACACATAAAACAGAAATGTGAAAAACTATGAGGAAACTTATAAGATGTTAGAGGTTTAAGGACAAACTCCTGGAAAAAAGTTTGAAGGCAAAATGGCCTTCAAGTCTTTTCAATATATTACAAAGGCTAGAGAGACTTGATTCCTAGGTATGATTCAGAGTGAAAAAAAGAAATATTTTTAAAAACAAAAGTCTAAAAAAGGTTAAGTGACTAAAGAAATTAAGCTGTTGCTGAAAACAACACATGTTCTACACATTAAATTTTTACAAAATCTGCTCAAGTTTAAACATACTTTCATAAAGTTATAGTTAATTTTTATAAAGATTTATACTTTTTAATTTAAAAAAGGGAAGCAATCTATGAGATACATTGATATCTATACACAAAAGAAAAAAAGTTGATAGATGTTTTAAAAATCAATTGACAGAAATAATAATGCTTTTACAAAATCCTGTTAATACAGATAAGACAACCAGTTATTATATTCCTCTCCACAAAATTTTGATTCTTTTTTGGGTATCACTAAGTTTAAGAGAATAATATTAAAAACAATTTTAAAGAATCAGGATTTTTCTCCAGTGCTCATTTGAAGTTAATATTGTTTGCTTACTATAGTTTGCCCTCATAAACAACATGGTTCTTTATGGGTCATTTTGTTTTCTTTGTTTTGGATCCCAAGTATTAAATTCCCTGAGTCATATCATTTCCTAGTCACAGAAACTTTGAGTTCATTTTAAGTTGTACTTTTTAAGTCTTCTCTAAGTACTGATGATAATAATAAAACCGTGTAACTTTTCTTTCCAATAAGGAACGCATTCTCATTTCAGTTTAACAAAGACAAATGGTGGTTTTGCTGTATCAGGACCCTGACCTTATCTCTGGAACCACAAACTAGAAGAATCAAGGCACCTGTCAACACCTGGTGGCAGTACACAAATCTGGAGGTTTTGGGATTTTAAAAGTAGCATATATTATTTTTGAGTGTTGAGTCAACAACTAAGCAATGATTGGAAATGTTAAATTTCATGAGTAAAAATTAGTAATACATTATTTTTTAAAAGGATAATTTTTAGCATTAAATTCAGTTTGGTGTTCAATTTGTTGATTTCTTACTATGTTCTATAATCAAGCTGTGACATTCAATAACAATTTGCTAAATTATTGGCAGGCAATGTTCAAAGAATTGTAAACAGGCTATTCAGAAGGACAATATACTGGAAATACATTATATTCAGGAGGCTAGGCGTCTAATCACAATGCATATATCACTGTCACCAATACTCAGAGCAGGTGAGATAATACAGATAAAAAAAATTTTTTTCAAAGACATTCCACTGGGATGCTACAAATGAAGACAGCAAAAAGAATCTTTGGCATGTAATTGTGCTTCTCATGTTGTTTAGTTCTCAATCTTGAGGAGGTAGTGGAGCCGTCAGAAATTTTATAGTCTTAGTAAAACTACTAGATACAATCTTTTTCTTCTCTTTAAGTTCCTTTTTTTTCTTTCCAATTTTTTTCTTTCCAACTTTTATTTTAGGTTCAAGGGGGACATGTGTAGGTTTGTTACATGGGTAAACTGTGTGTCATGGGGGTTTGGTGTAAACATAATTTTGTCACCCAGGTAATCAAGCATTACCTGACAGTTCTTCAATCTTCATCCTCCTCCCACCTTAGATGCAATCTTAACTAAGATATTGGCAAGAGCTTGAGGAGGTTTTATAAATAAGTCTTGTGACAATGGTCAAATAGCACTGTATTCTGTTCATGCTATACATACCTACGTTTATGTATTTATATATATTTCTTTAGATATAAGAAAATCTAATTCTATAGATCTGTCACAAACAATAAGATTTTGCCACATTTATGGTAGAATGATGGGAACAGTGTTGCTGACTTTCCTCAGCTTAAGTCCCAGTCATTGTGCATTTCTATTTTTCTCTGAATAGAACTTCAGATATTTTTGACAGCAATAGGCTCCTACAAGAAACAGTAAATAGGTCTAACTTTATAGTTGAGGATATTTGAGAAATTAATTTTTAAATTATTTATTTAAAACATATTTAGAAACTAGTTTATTGATTCTTATAGACAATATATAAATTATGCCTTCAACTTGGCCAAAAGATGTGATTAATCAAACAATATGCAGATTTAAAAACAGGCATAATTAAGTGTGATTTTACTTCTATTAATGCTTCATAGGATTTTTCAGAAAGTGACAGGACTAGGCACAGTGGCTCAAGTCCGTTATCCTAGCACTTTGGTAGGCCAAGGCAATCAAATTGCTTGAGCCCAGGAGTTTGAGACCAGCTTAGGCAACATGGTGAAACCCCATTTCCACAAAAAAATACAAAAATTAGGCAGGTGTGGGGACACTCGCCTCCAGTCCTCACTACTCAGGAGGCAGAGGTGGGAGGATCACTAGAGCCTGGGAGAGGGAGGTTGCAGTGAGCCTAGATTGCACCACTGTACTCCAGTGTGGGCGACAGAGTGAAATTGTCTCAAAAAAATAAATAAATACATAAAATTAAAAAAATAAAATAAAGTAACAGTGATGATTTGTATATACTCTTAGCTATGGCAGCCATTCTTGACTGACAGCTTTAGATGCAGTATCACTGCATAATCAATACATCTAATATTCTTCTTTGTAGTAAACTTAGGAGGAATATGGAATTATGTGAATGGTAAAGCAGCTTAGGACGTGGAACAGAAACTAAGATTTATTTACATAAATGTTGGTATACTAAAAGAATTAGACTAAAGATTTGTTTATATAACTGTATTTATGTAAGACTTATTTACATAAATGTTAGTATACTAAAAGAATCATGCTAATAGAATGAAAGAACAACATTTTAAACTTAAGGATAAAATAGAAACAAGCTTTTTACTAGACTATGACATTAATCCACATGATCTGAATGTGGAAAGAAGATGGGACACATAAAGTGGATTCCCCCCAAAATATACTGTTTCTCTAAATGACATCTACACATAATTGAACTTGAAGAAAACATACTCATAGCATATTATTGAATATATTCCAAATCTCTAGTAAATATGGTTAAGGAAAATAACACTTAGGAAAAGCGTATCATTTCAGGGTTTGTGATGGCTGAGACAAAAATTCTGAGCATAATTTGATGGGTATATATCTTAGGCCTTAGAAAGAATAACTTCAAAATATAAGAGACAGGTATTGCTTCCCGAGCATTAACTTGAGACACAAGAAGGTTGGATATGCTTTTAAAAGTAAAAATCTTACTCCCACAAGTTGCTTATTAGTTGCAAGGGAAAAATATTAATTATACATCAGAGAAATCAGACATTTTGATAAAGTGATTAGCATTAACCATAACCCTTTCCTGCCTCCAGAAGTGACATCCTGAGAAAGAGACAACGCTTACGCAGCACAAAGACAGCTAAAACCTAAACCAAAAACAGAAGTGCTTTTAGGATAAGATACTTTATTTTTTTTTTTTTTTTGAGATGGAGTCTTGCTCTGTTGCCCAGGCTAAAGTGCAGAGGCACGATCTCAGCTCACTGCAAGCTCTGCCTCCCAGGTTTACACCATTCTCCCGCCTCAGCTTCCTGAGTAGCTGGGACTACAGGTGCCTGCCACCACACCCAGCTAATTTTTTGTATTTTTAGTAGAGACGGGGTTTCACTGTGTTAGCCAGGATGGTCGACCTCGTGATTCACCCGCCTCATCCTCCCAAAGTGCTGGGATTACAGGCATGAGCCACTGTGCCCAGCCAGGATAAGATACTTTTAAAGTACTATTTGGAGAAAGAAGGAGAAAGCAGGTACCAGCAACTCACTGCCTCAAAATGGGAATACGTGTTAATTAGGGAAAGTAGGGAAACTGTTCCATTGTTTCCTTTATTCTTATGTGGCAGGTAGAGGACGGTTTCCTTAGTTCTCTAACACAATGGTCCCCTAACTTTCTGGGACCAGGGACTGGTTTCTTGGGAGACAATTTTTCCATATGATGGGGGGTTGGGGAAATAGTCTCAAGATGGAACTGCTCCACCTCAGATCATCAGGCATTAGATTCTCATGAGGAGCTCTCAACCTAGATCCCTTGCATGCACAGTTCATACTAGGGTTTGCACTCTTATGAGAATCTAATGCCGCAGCTGATCTGACAGGAAGTAGAGCTGAGACAGTAATGCTCTCCTCCTGCTGTACAGCTGGGTTCCTAACAGGCCTTGGACCAGTATTGGTCTGTGGCCTGGGGGTTGGACATCCCTGCTCTAACAAACACTGAGAAATACAGACAATCAGAACAGCCTTGTGATATTGTTAATTACCGGCCTGGCAAAAGTTCATCAGGGATGTGGTTGAGGGATTTAAACTATAAAATAGCAAGGCTGGACTAGATAACCTCTTGTCTTTCTCACTTCTTGCAGTCTATGTAAGATAACTGAGATGCAGTTGGAAAAAACCACTGGAATGAGTTAGCAGACTTGTTGCGGAAAGTCAGAGATCCTGAATGGAGGGACTGGCTGGAACCGTGGCAGAGGAACATAAATTGTGAAGATTTCATGGACATTTATCAGTTCCCCAAATTAATACTTTTATAATTTCTTACACCTGTTTTTACTGCAATCTCTGAACATAAATTGTGAAGATTTCATGGACATTTATCAGTTCCCAAATAATACTCTTACAGTTTCTTATGCCTGTCTTTACTTTAATCTCTTAATCCTGTTATCTTTGTAAGCTGAGAATGTACGTCACCTCAGGACCATTATTGTACAAATTGATTGTAAAACATGTGTGTTTGAACAACATGAAATCAGTGCACCTTGAAAATGAACAGAACAACAGCGATTTTCAAGGAACAAGGGAAGACAACCATAAGGTCTGACTGCCTGCGGGGTTAGGCAGAATAGAGCCACATTTTTCTTCTTACAGAGAGCCTATAAACAGATGTGCAAGTAGGAGAGATATCACTAAATTCTTCTCCTAGCAAGGAATATTAAATATTAAGACCCTAAGAAAAGAATTGCATTCCTGGGGGGAGGTCTATAAACGGCTGCTCTGGGAGTGTCTGTCTTATTCGGTTGAGATAAGGACTGAAATACGCCCTGGTCTCCTGCAGTACCCTCAGGCTCAGAAGGCGGGGAAAAAACCCCACCCTGGTGAAATTGAGGTCAGATCGGTTCTCTGCTCTTGAACCCTGTTTTCTGTTAAGATGTTTATCAAGACAATACGTGCACAGCTGAACATAGACCCTCATCAGTAATTTTAATTTTGCCCTCTGCCTTGTGATCTTTGCTTTGCCCTTTGCCTTGTGATCTTTTTGCCCTTTAAGGCATGTGATCTTTGTGACCTACTCCCTGTTCTTGCATCCCCTCCCTTTTTGATAAAAACCTGCTTAATAAAAACCTGCTGGTTTTGTGGCTCAGAGGACATCACGGTCCTACCAATATGTGATGTCACCGCCAGAGGCCCAGCTGTAAAATTCCTCTTTGTACTCTTTCTCTTTTTTTCTCAGACTGGCCAATGCTTAGGGAAAATAGAAAGAACCTACGTTGAAATATTGGGGGCGGGTTCCCCCAATACAGACTCTCATGTTCAAGTCCTAGATTTGCCAGCTATGACTTTGGGCAAGTCAGCAAGAATTCTCTCATCTCAAAATGAGAGCTGGATAACTTCTTAGGCCCCTAGAACACTTGAAATTATGCCATCATAAGACATAACGGCTGCTGCTGATGCACACTTCTTAAATAAACCAAAGGAGGAAAGACAATCTGATGATAAGGATGAGAAGTCTGATTACAAAAAATGAACGTTTTGTTCAGCTTAAGTAATGAGATATACTACAGGTACAGAAGTTTGAGAGAATAACAAAGTGGGAGATATAGCAGACCTAATCCTTCCTAAATTGAGTGCAAAATCATGAGAATGCTTTAATAATATTTTTTAATAAAATGTAATATATGAATAATTTTCTATTTTCAACTTGTCAGTCAACAATGCCATCTTTAATTATGAGAATGCTAAATATATTTCTCAATTTCAAGTTATATTATAGCCAACTGGAGCTAAGTCATCCAACCGAACTCATTTTTCCTTAAAAGGTGGTTTTGTGTTTTATTCTTGGTACTAGATAAGATATTACCTTTCAAAACAGAGCATAAAAGTAGATGTCATTTGAGACTGGCTCCTAACTTTAATCAGCATGTCACTTCCTTTTTTTTTTTTTTTTTAAGAGGCAGGGTCTTGCTCTTTTCGCCCAGGCTGCTCACTGCAGCCTCAAACTCCTGGGCTCAAGGAATCCTCCTGCTTCAGCCTCCCAAGTAGCCAGGAATATAGGTGCAGCCCTCAATGCTTGGCTAATTTTTTTTTTTTTTCTTTTAAGTAGAGACAGGGTCTCGCTTTGTTGTCCAGACTGGTCCTAAGCATTTTACTGCCTAAATATTTCTTCTACATTCTCCCTGCAATTAACCTTAGCTTAAACCCTACTCAGCTTTTCTCTGGATTCTTTGCCTCCAACATTCTCCCTTTCTCCAGGACCTTTTTCATAATATTTTCAGTTATCTGTCCCAAATGTAAAACTGATCATATCACTCTTTTTATTTAAAATTCTGCAGAACAATTTCCTCCATGTGCTCCCTCCATTTATTCACTGCACATAAAGTCTAAACTAAGTATGGCTTACAAGACCCTTCATGATCCAGCCCCAACCTCTCTAGTCTAAGACACTGACACTAGGTCACTTAAAGCTGCACATGCATGAAGTTTCTCAAGTGAACCATGTTCTTGGACAGGGATAAAAGTTGATTCCCATGAATGGTGCCTGGCATGTGATAAATATTTGACATATGTTAGCTTTTAAAATCTCATATCTTCTCTTTCCTCAAACTATCAATGCAGTCTCTCCATGGTAACTCCGAGCTGATAAGTGCTTCCTATTTTACTTAGAAAAAAGAGCTCCCAATAATATACATACTTCTTTCTTGCTTGTTATGATGGATAACTATTTATGATCCCACTTAGCCAACCTTTCCACTTTGCACTGGACTGTATCCCCTCTTCTTTATATTATATATATATAAAATATATATTTTATATATAATGTTTTATTTATATAATATATATTTTATATATAATATTTTATTTATATAATATATAATATATATTTTATATAGAATGTATTTTATATATTATATATTATATCTGTATATATACATATTAGAGACAAGGTCTCACTCTGTTGCTCAGGCTAGAGTGGGGTGGCATGCAATTATGGCTGACTGCAGCCTCGAACTCCTGGGCTTAAGTGATTTGCCTGCTTCAGCCTCTCAAGTAGCTAGGATTACAGGTGTGCATCACTATGCCCAGCTGATCTTTAAAAAAATTTTTCTTAATTTTTATAGAAACAAGGACTTGCTATGTTGTCTTGGCTGGTCTCAAACTCCTGGCCTCAAGCCATCCTTCTACCTTGGCCTTGCCAAATGCTGGGAATATAGGTGTGAGCCACTACGCCTGGTCTGCATCCCCTCTTCTATAAAAGAATATTGTGCCAGTAATTCTCCTCACCCTCCTGCATTATTAATATTTCTTTCAACTGAATTACTCTCATTAGAAAACAACCTTGATATACTTTTTTTTCCATTAACAAACAAAATAGAACAAAAACCTCTCCAGATCTTGTATCTTCTCTCTTAGTATCTTCTCTTTAGATCAAATCTTGACACACTTCTCTATACTCATTGTCTCCAATTTCTCCTTCCCCGTTTTCTCCTAAGCCTATTCTAATCAAACTTTGGAGTTTCATTACTCCAAACTGGCCCTCTGCATGAACAGTGCTTAGTACACTGCCTGACACGTAGGTGGACTCAATAAAATACTTTGTGATTCATTGGATCTCTGTAATGTAACTCATGTTATCCTTATAGTTGGAATGCTCCATTAACCTCCTTCCTCATCTCCACTCCTCCTTGCCTGATAAATTCTCACAAGTCCTTCAACACTCTGAGTAGGACCTGCCTCTTTTTTGAATGTTTCTCTAACCTCTCCTAGCTGAGCCAGAAGCTTTCCTATGTTTCCATTGCATCCTGTGACTACTGCTCTTGTTGCACTTAAAACATGCCATTATTTTTTCTTTAACTAGGTTGTATCTCTTAAAATATTCTAGAAGCCTTCAAGATCAGTGATCATGGTTTTTTGTTTTTTTTTTAACCTTGCTCATCACCATAACCTAGCACAGAGTAGATACTTAACAAAAGCAGGTGAATAAATGGAAGAATGAATAAGTCATCTAAAGAAAGATGGTAATGAAGGGTGAAATAAACACAGTAGCAAACAAAGAGGTGGGGGAAGAGGGAGAGATAAAAGGTCAAATCAAGCCAGGAGAAAGCAAACAAATGCACTGGGACAAAATGTCTTGTAAGCAACATCAGCATTCTTTGTGGTTTGAATTCCTAGGATGAAGTAAAGGGTGGATGAATAAATCACTGATGAAGCAGCAAAACAAAATACCTGGGTCAAAGCTTTTAGGTCACTGAGAAGATGGCTCAGCTCAGTGAAGATAAATTCAAGCCCATGCCTAAAATGATTTGTATTTGTAGGGATGCTGGAGATGTTAGCCCCAAAACTAAAATAAATATGTTGGTTGTTGTGACAGATGTTATAAAGTCAAGTGGAAAAGTTTTATTAAACTTTGATATGTGAACCAATGCTGACTCTAATCTTCTAAAACAGGGATTAAATCCCACAGGTCCTCATTCCTAAATCAAGTGCTTCATCCACATACCTTCAAAGCAGGCAAACAACAAACTGACAAATACAGTGCTGAGATTATAATCCGGGGTAGAAATGACTCAGTCTAAGCCTTACAAACAAACCTGGCTTTTATGCTAACATTCACACTAACATCTGAATGCAGTCTAAATACATTAAGAATCTTAAAATAGGTAACTGAATTACATTGCAAAAATAGACCCAAAAGGAACTAGGAAAGCTCATTTGTCCCTTTCTAAATTCCTTCCTGCAACTCATTCCACACCAAGAATAGATTGCTCTCTTTTAGAGAAGGACTTTTTCTATATTTTCCTCAAAGCATGAGAGGTATTAAGTATTTGCATCAAAAGGCAATAATAACATCAAAAGATAACATTTATTGGGAATCCCATTTTATAATGAGGTAACAAAAATTCAGACCTGTCAGATAACTTAGAGAGCTAGTAAGTAGCTGGAAGGGAAATCTGAGCTGAAAGTCTTTCCATGACTATGTTTCTACAAGCTAAGTAAACATAGTACTTTAGTGTGTTCATATTCTCAAATGTAAATAAATAGTCATGCAGATATCCAAATGAATTTTGGGGTCACATTTAATTTTTTTTGTCCCACATAAGAATGTGACTTATGAGTATAATAGAAAAACTCTTGTTGCAAGGTAACCTAGAGCTATGATATCTGTGCTTGAAAGTACTGTCTTTTGACATATATCATATATTTCATGTTTGAAATTGCTGGAAGATGTCTACTATGTACCCATCAAAATTAAAAATAAAACATTATAAAATAAAAAAAGTATTAAAAAGTTTCTGGGAGAAAAGCAAATTGTCTTCAGTTTTATTTGCCATTTTTCTACCACAAACAAATAAATAAAAGTTGAAAAATGAACTATTCAGCCTCTGGAACAGTAGGTAGAAAGTGATAAAATGCTATGTTAAATGAAGCCATTTGCAATATAGTTTTTCAGTTGGATAATCTTGCTTAGAATTCAATCAGTATAAACCCACAATTATCATACATCATATTGTCACAGTATAGTTGGCTTTAATTACTAAGAGAAAGAAATAAATTCTCTTCTTTGAAGATGTTCTCTGAGTAAACAATGGAATATCATAATAGAAAACACAAGATCTTAAATTGATGAAATGGTAATCTTAAATACCTACAGTCAATAAACACTCCTTGAATGCCTGTGATGTGTAAGACACTGTCAGAAGGTACAGGACATAAAATGAAGCTTTCAAGAGAAATGGTGATAATGAAAATAAGGAATGTAATATTCTTAAAGAAAGCAGATACAGATATCATTCTCCACTTTGGTTCACTAAAATTTTTTTGCCAAATTGCTTACCAATTCTAAAAACTATATAATTAGTTTTTAAATTAAAAAGTAAATTGTAGAACAGTAAAGAAAATTCTATATACATACTTTTCTTTTTCATGTCTCTGTGTGCACACACATAAGACAAGGGAAATTTGTTAACTTTTACTTCTATAACATTCTACTTCACTAGAATAACACTTGAAATAATTTCTACGTATATAAAATCAAATAATTTTGCTAATTTAAAAATTACCAAATATTCTATTTTATGGAATAAAATGTTGCCTGATTCTAAAGAAAAGGTATCAAAAATTAACTTAATGTGCCAGATTATTTTCAAATTTCCAAAGATAGGTGTAAAAACTATGATTCGGAAAAAAAAAACCAAAGAATTACAGATAATAATGCTCATAGAAATGCTAGATGAAGTTAAACCATGCACCGGTTGATGTGTGTCTTTGTAGAATTTTTCTAGTTAACCAGGATCTTGAGTTATGACATTCAGGAAATCTTTTTTTCCATTCAAACTACTGTTACATTAAAAAAAGTCAAACTATAAAAAGAAAAATAATCAATCTGAACAAAGCTAATACTCTAGATGCCAGACCTAGTTTAAATATAAATTAAAAATATATATATATTAAAGTAGATTTTGCATTATTTACCGAGGTAAGGCTGAATATTTAAAATAGCCTTTGTAGTCAACAGAATTGACCTCAAGTTCTGGCTCTACCATTTTACTATGTATGTTTCTGGGGCAAATCATTTATCCTCTCTAAGCCTATGTTTCCTTCTCTGTAAAACAGACATAAGAGACAGTATCTCAAATGAGGCTGTATCAAAGTGCTTAAGTACAGTGTTTACTACATAGTGGCGACTATCAGTATAAACAAAGTTGAGTAAATATGGTCTTCTACATAATGATTTATTTAGTATCACAAAGGTATAAAACAAAAATAAATCTCATTTTACTAAATAGCATAGGGAAGTTCACTAAGAATAAGCCATCTTCTAAAGCATAGGTGATATACTAGTGGGATACATGGTAGTGAGGTTCAGGGAAGAATACCTTGCTTGGGGAGTCTTAAATGTTGGCACTTTGCCACATTTACCTTTCCCAACACGGTATAAAAAATACAATTCTGAATTATTTTAAAAAATTAAAACTATTTTCAGATTCCATACTTTTTTTTGTGATGCTAAAGATTAAGACTTCCATTTTCTGGAATTTGGAAGTCAAAATTTAGAGACGTCCTGTTGCGAATAAGAAGTTTAAAACAAGACCTAAGTAATTTCCATTGCTGGACTATAGGCAAGTAATGATTCAGAAAATTGCTAATTGAAACATAGCTAAGCCATGATTTCAAATTTGCTTCAAGATAGTGGTAAATAAAGTGGTGGTACTGATAACACATATGCATAAAATTATATTGACACAATGTCACCTAGAAACTGTTATTCCCTGGAAGAGACAAATCAACTTTTATTACTGTTTATTGTTTTGAAATATTTTATTAATTAAATTTGGTAAAATTAAAATGGTAATTATGCTTGTTTTTGTAAAGACTTGCAATGATTCTTTAGCTAGAACAAAAAGGTTCTCCTTTCTCCTTAGTTCTTTTGTCTGCTACTGCTATGACACAGGCAATTTTTCATTTAAAACTGAATTTGAATATGAATGAATTTAAATTTTCTAGTATAAATTTTCTACCTGACTGATCCTGATATTTTTCCTTTGTTTTTCCCTTTGTCCTTACCTTTAAAACTTCTTGAAACCTAAGTAGTACTTCTAAATGTAAAAAGTCTGATGCAACACAAAATTAATAAACTAACTCCTCACTTCTGTTTCATTCTTCTAAAATAATATTTATCATAGAAGGAAAAAACTATTTCGCACATGTGACACTATTTTGTTTCTTTGAAATTCTTCTCTTAATAGACATTCAAATTAATATTATACATGAACGAACATGATAAGCTAGAAATTGATAGTACTTATATTTCCAAACTAATTAATTTCATCAATTAAACTTTCCTAATGGATAGTGGAAACCCAGAAAAGTTTATACTCTTGTGTACCCTTTACCTAAGGTGGATAAAGTAATGAATAATATCATTTGCTAGCTACATACTAACCTAGTTTTTAATAAAAACTAAACCAGCTAGCATTCTTTTACATGACCCTAATAACAGTTATTAAAGTATTTTTGTAAACAAATAACTTAGACCTAAGTGTGAATGTACTTTACCAAAGCAAAGAGGTTGTGCATTTGAATCCGAAAAATGGTATACAAGCTGAAACTTTCATAAACTAGCTCATTCAATTAATGTGTTTATATATTGTATAGCCAACATGAGAACTGAATGCCAAGAAGAACACACTGTTGTCATACTGGACAGAGCTTTGAAAAGTTTAGGTGGAAGGTTCAGGAGGTTATTAAGAAAAAAGAACACTCAGTTAAGTATAATTTTTTTGGGTATCTTTTCCAAACCAATGTGAATTACTATCATGAATGAAGGACTAGAGCAATCCTAAAAGACAGAACTGGAATCAAATGATCAATTTAACATATTAGGAACAACAACAAAAAAATAAAAATAAAGACAGGAAACAACAATTTGAGAAAACCGGGAAAACTAAATTGTCATACATTTCATAGATACCAAATTCACTTAGAAAAAACAAACAAACCTGTCCAAACAAGTACAGTCTCTCTTCTACCCACTGATAAGAGTGAAATGGCTTTATCCTTTTGGGACATCTTGAAGTAAGAAAAATCCACTGAAAGTTGTCCCTGTATGTGATGCTTACCATAGTCATGCATATGAACTTTAAATCAACTTTAAATGTCTTAGCTGCAGAATGTCTTAGCTCAGAATAGCTTAGATATTTCAAAAATGTGGGAGGGGATAACATCCTAATTAAAAAAAACCAGTCAGGTGAGTTGATAACTAATTAGTAACTGATAAGCAACTCAGAACAAAGCTTCAGAAATGCTTGATGAGGCAGGTAAGGCTGACAGACTTACTCTGAAGCTGAGGCTGCTGGAAGGAAAGGGGCTGTCCGAACACAAATGGGCTGTGTACTAGGGAAGAGGGAGGTTTTGCAGCTTGATCAAAGATGGAAGGAGCTGGGAGATTGGGTCGTGACTGAATGGAATTCAATATGGCACTCAGTTGGTCACCTGCAGTGGGTAAAACAGTCAAAACTACAACTCGTTATTCATTAACATCCAAAATGGCAAAGTAAATGGTGCTTTATGACATTCAGATAGAGTTGAACACTAAATAAAACCATGCCAATTCAGAAATGAGTGAAAATTGGTGACTGTTAATCATCCTCAGATTAGGGACCGAATTTTGCAAGCTTTTTTTTTTAATGGAAGCGCCCCACCAAATCTTATATAGAAGCCCACCTATAAAAACAAATCCATTTAAATTCATATATAACATCTCTCATTATGTATGGGAGAACGAAGACTCTATGAAGAATCAGTGATAAATTGCTTCAATATTGAACATATATAAATGAAGATTTAAGTAAATGATGCCTTTTCCATAGTTCCCAACAATGACTAATACCACCCTGCCTCATCGGCAGTATATTTCATGCAGAAAATAAGCAATTAACAGTTTTTCTTCAAAAAGCAGAATGGGGCAAAGTATGTTATTAACATAGCAATGTGTTTACATTATAGTTATAAATTAATACTTTCTTTTTTAAGTTGTTACTGCCAAAGAAATTCTACTTTAAAAGCATGAAATATTTTGCTTAGATGAATAATTTAAAAATCTGTAAGTCCTATATGACAAAAAGGATTATGAGCTACCTAATTTGAATAGTATCTAAAATATCGATTCTAACATTTTTCCTTGTACCAAAAGGTTTTACAAAAATTTTTTTTAAGATAATGAAATTATGTGATGGATAATAACTCCTTATTTGTGAGTATACATTAAATAGTTTAAATGATGCTGGAGGTGGGGAGAGGGAACTACATCCAGACTAGGTGATGCAGAAACTGGAAAATAGTATCTTTCTAGTCATATTTCTGAAATATAATAAAGTTTCATATGTGAAAATTTCAACTGAAGTACCTACACGGGATAGATTTATGTGGAAAGAACTGTGTACACGAGCCATATATCTTTTTTTGAAATAATAAATAAATGCTGTAGATTATAGGAAAAAATTTAGAGATCATGAAGAATTTTCTAAAATACTGTTTTAAGAAAAAAAAACTTACAAAAAACAGCTCTTCGATCTTGGACAGTATTAAGAGTTAAAATGGGAACTACTGTTACAGATAATAAAGTTAGATATATTTCATCAAGTTTAAGTTTCTTATTATTTCTTTGCTCCTTCTAAATATTTTAAAAGCTTGTTAACAAGAGTAGGCTTATTATTAATATTTTTTTAAGGAAACAGGATCCTGCTCTGTTGCCCAGGATGGAGCGTGTGGCTATTCACAGGCACGACTATAGCAGACTACATCCTTAAACTCCTGGCCTCAAGTGATCCTGTTGCCTCAGCTTCCCAGGTAGCTGGGACTATAGGCATGAGCCACTATGCCTGGCATGGTGCATGCTATTTTTGAACGATATTCACAAAATCTCATGTTTAAAAAGTAATACTTTATTATTTGTACATAATAACAAATTTTCTCGGCAATGTTTGTGTCTCAAACATTTATATTTATTTTAATGATATTTTAATAAATTATAATGACTGATTTACTGTGATAGCTATTAGTACAATGACAGACAGTTTAAAGACTGAAAGCATACAATTTGTGTTAAACAAGGCTTTAAAACATTACTATATAGAGATATAGTAGCGGTAAGCAAATGCTGAGATTTTAAGAGTTGACAAAGGTAAAGAGAAAGGGACATAAAGAAAACACCACCAAGCATTTACACTATGTAAGTACAAAGATCTAGCTTAAGTTAATGGAAATCAGGTACCCGAAGTAAGCGAGCAGATGATACCCAATCCTATGAGATAGGCTAGTCCAAGGGAGTAAAAAAAAATCTTGTGGCTAGGTTTCCTTCATAAAAATACTTTGTGGAAAGTAATGAAGCTATTCAATAGAAGTAGTTTTATTTTAAACAGAATATTCCTTATACATTTTGTTCACTGTTTTATTTTTTCACTTGTTCTTCAAGTCAGGTATAATGACACTGTATTTGTCCCTTGGAATCAAGTCCTGTGAATTAATTTAAATAAAATTAAAGTAAAATTATTTCCACGTAAGCTATCTGCTCCCTTTTACTCATGACCCAGCTGTATGTTACCTGTGGACAATAGGGCTGATTTTGAAGGAGTCTAGATCAGGTACATAGGAAAGAACAAGAGTGTGTGAATTCACATAAAAATGCAATTTCTGATGAACCTCCAGCATAAATTGTTTCAAAATTAACTATTGTTTGGACAGTCCATGATGCTGGTCTCTTCCATTAATGCAGCCAAAACAGCTGTATATATATTATATTCATATGACTTAGGGTTTTCTTCTTTTTACAACTTTCTGGTTTTATTATAGATATTAAAACCAAACAGATCATTTCACATAATTCTAAATTAACTAAGATTACTGGGTTAGAAATTCAAAACCACATAAATTTTATAAAGCTCATGTGTAATATTACTTAAAAATATTATTTAGAAGTAATAGTTTGATTTTAAATGGATCATTTGAGCAAGTTCTCTGTTTCTCATTAACATTACCATCCTAATAAGTGGATGATAAAAATCAAATTTTACTAGATTTAGTGAAATAGAATCTTTAGGATATGAAATCAAAATGAGTGTTTTTTAAATAGAAAAAAAATAAGCAAGCACTCTCATAAACTTAAGCCAAAACTGGTTAAAAACAAAAAACAACAGCAAAAAACAATACTATGAAAAGAACACCTTTGTAAACATTTTTTATTAGCTTTCCATGAACAAATTTTAATTTAATAAAGATTTCTGGGTGAACACAAATAAAAAGTGTATAAAAGAGAAGGTAATAAAAAATATTGAAGTTAGGTAAGTAAAAGACTTACTTTTAAATACCTACCTTTGCTATTTCCGAGTCCATAATCAAATCCTTGGGCACTGCAACTTGCCCCTTTATTAAAAGCTTGCACTGAGAAAGGGCTTGGAGGAGGAGTTTGAGAATTCTGATCCAGAAGAGCTTGTTCTACAATAAAAGCCATAGCTGTAACATTAGTTTCTTACGTGCTATTCCCTATTCATACAACAAAGAGAGAAAATTGCAAAAGATTTTATGATGGTTAGATTTTAAAATAAGCTCACATCTAGATTTGATCAATTTAAATACCAGTCAGGTCATCTTAACATTAACAAAGCACCTGACAAATCTTTGTTTTTATTTATCAAATACACAGTGAAATTTAGAAATGAGATAGGCTCTTATGAAGCCAATTTACTTTTATTGTGGCAGGATACATTACTGAATGCATACTAATATTTCTGGACCAGGAACTCTTTGTATTTGCAACAAATTTATACAAGAGTATTTTGCAAAACAAAATGGATAACCTATAAACCAGAAATAAAAGTATTTTGCATATTAGTATTAGAATAGAGAAAAAAACTAAGTATCTAGTACCAAAAGGAATTTTCATTTGTTAACTGTTCTAAGTTATGAATGTGAAAATTATGGAAAACTTAACTTTTAACTTATTTTATCACATAAAGATATTTTTCCCAAATAGAAGGATAATAATAAACCATGTTACATAATCAGAGTCTATAAATGTATCAGAATTCTTATTTCAAGCAGAAAATGGCAAATGTTTTATCCATTTACAAATGGCAAGATGTGACCTATAAAATATGCAAACTAAATTAATCCCCTATGAACAATCAACTGGCTCCAAGACTCTGTCTGATATAAAACAATACCTTAGTTAAATATCCATATTAATGCCAGCCAAAAAAGGCAAAATAAAGTCTGTCAAGTAAAATTGGGGGGAAAAGGTATTTATTCCATTAAAATAACCTTATGAAAAATAAAATATCTCAAGTATATTTTTAAATATCTTATTTTTAAAATATCTTTAAGTATCTTAAATATCTTTTTTAAAAGTCAATAGTCCTTGGCCGGTCGCGGTGGCTTACGCTTGTAATCCCAGCACTTTGGGAGGCCAAGGCAGGCGGATCACGAGGTCAGGAGATCGAGACCACGGTGAAACCCCTTCTGTACTAAAAATACAAAAAATTAGCCGGGCGTGGTGGCCGGCGCCTGTAGTCCCAGCTACTCAGAGAGGCTGAGGCAGGAGAATGGCATGAACCTGGGAGGCGGAGCTTGCAGTGAGCCGAGATCGCGCCACTGCACCCCAGCCTGGGTGACAGAGCGAGACTCCATCTCAAAAAAAAAAAAAAAAAAAAGTCAATAGTCCTTTAAACAGAACAGGGAACTACAGACAGGGTGTGGTAGAGTGTTTCCTTCCTACCTGTAAATTGCAATTCTGCTAAACCAGTGGTACTGTATAATCTATCCCTTTACCAGCATTTGTAGACTTGATTTAAAAAACCAATCTTAGCACTTCCCTTAGGCAATACTCTTCAGCATGCAATATTTCAGCAGTAGAATGTTTCTTCAGAAAAACACCCATGAACAGTAAACTGAACGGAAAAGATAGCACTGCTTCCTCTCTAGACTAAGAATGGTCTAGCACCCAGAGTGAAGTCTGTTTTTACCACAGCAGTAACTTTGCCTACTACAGATTTCAAAGACCAATAGAGAATTTTTACAAAGAGGAAAGCTTTTGTTTTACTCACATGACTTCATATAAATTACCATAGTGCCAAATCTTTGTACTTCCATATTAAATATTATCACCAATGAACAGACTATTTGGGCAGCACATCAACTAATCTTAGTGATTTAAAGGCACTAACTTCATATCATTTCTTTCCTTATCACTCCAGGTTTTATATTAAAATAGTAAGATTCACATGATCACCAAATATCCATATTTATGTCTGTATCTATACATCAAGAGTAAAAGATGATTAACTAATTACAGAGAAAAATTTAAACTTTTCTTAAATGATACTCTAATTTAAGAGGCATTTTATCTTGAAAGAAGCTTCTATCTTCTAAGTTTATAAGAATAAAATTTCCCAGGTTAAAACTTGATCCTTAGCATGGAAGGCATTTTGCATTTTAACAATAAGACCTAACTTACCATCCATTAGCTTTATCTGTTATTTGCTCATTTAGTCTTCATATCAAATTTATGTGGTTATGACCTATAAGGTCATTTTATAAATGGGAAAACTGAGGCACAGAGATATTAGGTTAACTTGGTCAAGGTCACATGAGTAAAAAGTTGCACAGCTGGGATCAGTACCCTGGCAGTCCTGCTTCAGAATCCACTCTTACATATTTTTTGTACTGCCAGTTAAAAAATTATTAAGGATTAAGCTAGAAAAGTCCTTTAGAAGTCACCTAAGCTGTTCTCATATTTAACTTATCTTAAATAAAGCTGATCTCCCCTTAGGTATTTTCATTTATATCTGAATATTCCTATATAAAGAAAAATGTTTAAAAATTTATGAATATGAAGTAAATATACAGCAATATATAATAAGCACATAGTAAGTGAAAAAGTCATTTAGTAAATGTCTGATTTACATCAAGCGGAACCCTTATCTTTTTCAAATGAACAGTTCTACTGTTTCAGGACATTATTTTATGACCATATCATCTTAGACTAAAAAAAGTCTATCTGGGAAAAACAAGGAGAGGAGGTAGGTTCTCAAGTTGTGCTCAATGTGTACAGCATGGTGTAATGAGTACAGCATTTAAAACACGAATGAAGATTCTGGCTGAAGTCTTACATCTGCTATGTCACCAGCTGTACAACCATAGACACGTTAGTTTAAATTCTAGAGCTTGAGTTTCCTACCTATAAATTTAAGATTATATCACCTACCTCAAAGGTGTGTTGTGGGGGGAAAAAGGGAGATATCTCCAAAGATACTCCATCATTATTGCAAATTTCAAACCTTTTCTGAATCCATATTTATGGCCAAATTGCCTCTTGGAATAATAAGTATTATAAATTTATTATCTTTTGAATAAAGATGCATGTTCTCTTATTTACCTAACTTCATCCTATAAATTTTGGGATTTGGCAGACAAGTCCATGTTTGCTTACATACTTATTTTGATGTGCTATTATTTTTATAATTCAAGTTGTATTACAAAACTTCATGAGCAACTAGTATGTGTCAAAACTGTTTCAGTACTAGGAATGGAAAGATAAAAACCATGTGCCTGTCCACAAGGGACTCATAACTGGGTATGAAGAAATAAACATGAACTTCACTATGACACTATTGTTCTAGTGGTGAGCACAATTCTTTAGGAACACAAGAAATTCTTTGCTCTGTTGTGATCAGTTAAAGCATCACACAAGTGATAATGTGGTCTCAACTTCGAAGAACAAATTTTTGCCACCAAGATATCAAAGAGAGGGGGACAAAAAGGAATATATTTTATTAAGTGATAGCCATGTTGAAAAAGGTAAAATAAAATTTAAAGTTGAAAATCTAACAACAGGAAACCCTAAAGACACTATGCATTTATTCAATGCTCTTTCCCTAAGACAAAATGCAATCAAATGAAGTTGCCTGGGAGAAGTACTGAGATTGGTAGTTGGAATACCGAAGTTTCATTTTATTATAGAAGGGATAGAACGTTCAGTCCTGGACTGGTACAGAAGAAAGAGGTATATAAATTTATATTAATGAAATTAAAAGCCTGTTTTATAAAGATGAGTCTATATGTTTCGAATTTTCTTTTAATTTTCTTCTTTAATGTGCATTAAGTACTCACGTATTTTACAAACCAATTTTAACAGTTGCAAGATTTTTTAACTTTTAGTTTTGCTTGTTAAAAAGCAAACACACAAAAAACTCTTTAAAACAAAAGCAATACAATAGGCATTAAACTTCTGTATTTGAAAGCTTAATTGGAATAAATCACAAATTTAAGCCAACTTGCCATCTTCATGTCGGAGGTACTGGTTTCCGCCTCTGTCTCTAGCTAAGGACCATGCCTCTCCTTCATCACTCTCACAGAACTCTACCATGCTGTTCTGATCCAGTTGCACCCATGTCCCTTCAGAATTGGTTACCTGGTACATAACAAAAAGCATGATTGATTGGCTTGATTCTTTCAGGGAACTCAGTCTGAAAACCAGTAAAAATCTTACGTGTCTGAATAGTGTAATCATTCCAATACATTTCTACTAAGAAATTAGTTTCTGAAATTAAGGCCACAGCCTGAGGTAAGACAGAAGTCAATAAAAAGTTCTGTAAAATACTGCTTATTTATGAATTTGGTTAAAATAATAACTTTCAAAGCACAAAGATAACACCTAAATAATTTTAAGAATTACCCAAGAACACATGGCTCATTTTCTTTTTTCTGCATCTAAAATGTCCTAACACAGCCGACTTGCTATTATTTAGGTTGAGAGTATCCATAGTGTAACTTGAAAATGACCCTTACTGAGAAATAGCATGACACACTACATCTTCAAGCTTATCAGCTGAGGCAAATGCCACAGTAGCCTAAAGAGTAATTTTATTTGCTCAGGACTTCAGTGAGACCTATGAATGGGAACAAAGAAATGAAACCTTTTGCATATGACCACATCTCCATACCGATCACATAGAATATTTTAAGTGATGATAATCCATGATGGTATAGTACATTTGTAATAATGAAAAAATATGTGCAAATACCAAACATTTATATATACAATACAAATCATTTGTTAATATATTGTTTACACAAGGATAATTATGCAAATCATTAGACAGAAGCACAGAAAAATTATGTATTTGCAATACAAGTAAAGATAAAATACATTAACATTGAAAAACCTGTGGTAGAAATGGCAACCTTTAGAAGAGATGCTTTGGTTGTATTACATTAAAAATGAGTATCTTAGAAGTCATGAAGCTACAAGAATCCATACCTCTCCCACTGCTTTGACTTTGTTTCCCAGAACTAACATTCCAATTGGGATACCTCTAAGGTTAGGGCAGCTTCTGATGTTGTGACCTGAAGGTCCCGTCTTCACTACCTTGTACATGCCTGGCCCTCCTCGCAAGAATGGCATATCTTGTTCTTGCATTGTTGCTTCCTGTGGGCAGCAGGAGTTTATGTCTTTGAAAAAGTCATCAGTATTAGTTTTAGATTCCTGAAAATTTGAATAGGAAAGAAAAATAAACAAAATACAATCTATTATCACTTTCAAAGCCTTCCTATTAATAGCTTTTATAGCAAGTCTACAGTACTGTCAATATAAAAAAAACACATAACTAAAGATAACTGAAGAATTAGTCATTAGCACTAATTAAAGAATCTCAGTTTTTCAACAATGCTATTTAAAATAAAGTTGAAGGCAAGAAAATATAGCAGGAAACCAGTCAACCTCTGGCTTCTGCCCACCATAATTTGAGAAATATAATCATCCTTGATTTTACTTTTATCTTTAATGCAATATTTAAAGTTGGAAAAATAAAAATACTATACTATGTGAACCACAAGGGAATAATTTTGAATCATTATTACTGCATTACTGTATATTGTTATGGGTAAAAAAAAGTCTAAATATTCATTTCTTCCCATGTTGAAATAATTATTTATAAATAGAGAAAACAGGTATGAAGAATCTGAAAACTGATCCATAAGCAGAGATGATGAAAAATATGCATTAAAAATATAGCTATATCTTGCTATTTGTTAGTTATGAATGAAATATTGATGCTTACAATATTTTAACAACTTATACTCTCTAATATTGTACAAATAAAAACGTCTTGCTAGATTTGTTAAGCCATTACTATGCAGTGATACATTAATGCTAGTAACAGAAAAACAGACTATATTTTTAGTAGAAAGGAGAAATTAAACATGGATTTAAGTAAATATAACGTAAATTTATTATTGAAAAGAGTCACTTCTAAAATGAAAGAACCTTCCCTAAATTTTCTGTTAAATTGTAATGCTGTGATAAAATTGTTTCCTATGTGAATGTAATAAAGAGAAATAATAACCTTTCCATATTTTCTCTTTTTCCCAACTAAATGTAAATAAAGGGTCCACACTGGGTGTTCTCATTGTCATCATTACTCCTTTAAAAGAGATTTAAAACTGCATTTTTAAATACAGTAATATGAACTCTATAATTTATTTCATATTCAGATAGAGTAATAGATAACCATAAAGAGACACACATGCAAACATTAGGTTAAAACTGATATTTAATAATGTTATAAATAGAATAAAAATTTAACAACTAACATTATGCAAGATAGAATTGTATTAAATAGTTCTATCCCTACCAGTAGCCTCATAATGAAGAGATATGTATACATGTTCATACACACAGTAACACAGTAGAATATTAAAAATAGAATCCTCAGGTTTAAAAATATGTAGATTCAAGAATTCTGTATACCTGCTACTTTGTTAATTCCATACATGACTGGTCAGGGAAAATGTTAAAGTCACCATTAACTTTCACATAATATTTTGTGAATCTCACTATAGTGATGAATAACCAATTTTTACTTATACAAATATGTACTAAGAAAAATTAATTTACATTTACTGTAATTATATTTTATTTACCAATATTCTTTGGTTACATATTGGAAATTTAACGGAAATGAGAATTTTAAACACTCAAAAAACTTAGATTTACAACCGAAAATAAATGTAAAATACGCATTTTATATACTCATCATATATATTTGTAAGAATTTATATATATGCAAACCTACATGAATACACAGAGAGCACTCAAGATAAAAATTGAGAGTAACACAGGTCTAAACTTTACATAGTACTTGCTATTACACTCACAAGATTTTCTGTAAACATTTTAAAATGTCTGTTTGTAAATGGTTAATAAATAAATACATCATGCCATTTCATAGTTGGAAGGGGCAAGTTTTAATCCCACTCACAACTGATTCTTAAAAATTACATGGCAACATAAAAAAGCAAATATCCATAGATTTAGCAAAAAAACCCAACTTCACTGGTATTTAATAATATTCCTAGTGCATTTAATTAATTATAACAATAATTCTAACTTTTGATCATTCAGGGTAACACTGGGAGTTAAGCCTTGGCACAACTAATTATAATTGCAAACTAGTCACTGAAAGGCAATTATGAAAACTTGTTAAAAATTTAAAATAATATTTTATTGAAAAGGTAATAAAACTATATTAATAAGTATAAAACAAAGTTTATCCAATTCTTGTGCTAAACAGTATAAAACACTGACAGACATAAAGTCATAGAACTGTGCCTATCATGCTCAAGCAATAGTAAAATACATGCTTTATTCAATACAGAAATGTAAGACCCAGGTACCAGCATATTAAATTCATGAATTTCAATATTATTATTTTCTCCCTCCATTCCCATCCCATTCTCAGATGAACATTCAAAGAGGGAATGTGAAAGTGTTGGCAGCAGAAAAAATAAAAGAGCCATAAGGCCAGGACACTGTCACCTAAATAAGTTAGTTGTGAAAACACTAATCTTAGATATAGTCATTGGAAAAGCTACTCATAAAACTAAATATAGCAAATTTGAAGTCATGTGGAAGTATCACTTAAACTAATAATACATTCTTTTTGGCAGGAGTGAGAAAACTCAATTGCAGCACTTCATATAGATCTTTTTTTGGTTAAAAGGTTTTATTAATCTTAAGCAAAGGTTTTAAAGACACAAAATTTGTTATACATGCTGAAATACCTGAATAAAATATTATTGTTCCTTACAGTTAACTCACCTGGGGGAAAAAAGCTTTGGAAGTCCATGAAAATACGTCCAAATCCCTGACTCCTTGGCTAGCATTAAAGATATTCTGAGCAACAAAGTTTAAGAAAGAAAAATATCAACAAAGAAAGGGAACAGGATATCATCTGCAGAAGATGCGTGCACAGTAACAACATTTTTCTGTACTCTAGCACCAACATGGAAATATTATTTTACTAAAGAGAAACTGAAGCCATCTGAGTAAACAACACACCGAAGAAATTCTGTCTGATAAGTAAGTTTTTGTCAGAAGCTCTCCATGGATATAGTGTGTCATGCCATTTACTAAAATTAAGAGCCAGACGTTGTTATAAAGCTTAAGATACTCAATGCAAGAAAGAAACCTTAAAATTCTTTAAATGAGGATGTATTTGTTCTAATACAAGCCAGATTTGTTTTATGACAGAAACCAGTCTGCTGTTTTATAATAAAAATGGAAATGATATCGATTGTATAGAAAATGCAATTATCATTATGAATAATAATGGCATGTAGTTTACGTGAACTTATCACTTTTTGAAGTACAAAAATAAAAATAAAAACTAAAAAAGTAAAAAATAAAAAGTCTGAGTCATTTTTTTCAATTTTCCTTCCCTTTATAAGTAGGAAAAAATTCATTTGGAAATGTTTCTGAATGCTACTAACAAATTTGATAAGAAAAACATAATACATACAATCAATTTTTTATCAAAAGATAAAAATGTAATCAATTTTATCAAAAGACAGGCCTACTTTTCTCTATCTCAAAGTTTAGGAAATGCAGAGCATTTAGGATCTCTAAGTTTAAGTCTAAAAATGTTTTGTTAAGGAACAATTAATTCACAGAAACGTTATCCTAGAAAAATTAACATCTTCACAAAATGTTTTACTGATAATTTAAATGATATACATTTTCGTAGTTATCTCATGCTATCAATCTATATTTATCTGATTTGAAATTAAAATCTTTCTAGTGAGTAGCAATTGCACAATTTTATTGCTTATGTAAATATTATGATAAACGGTTATTTTGAACCAAAAAAGAGGACATTCAAAATATTAATAAAAAAGATCAACTAAGACTTCAACAAAAAAGAAACATCAAAATTCCTTATCAATTATAAGTCATTTTAGATAATGAAACTTTTCTCATTATCTCATTTTAGATAATGAAACTTTTCTCATTATCTCATTTTAGATAATGAGACTTTATTTACTGTTTTCTAGTTCTATATTTTCCATATCCATATATATATATGGATATATACATATATATGTACAGATGAATGTGGGTACACACCCATCTACATAAATATATACTAATTCATAAATATAAGACATATAAAACTCTAAACAAAGTGTCTAATAATATGCCTACAAATAAATGTAAACCAAAACCAAAGCCAACTGCCCCCTAATTAAAAGTGGATAGGGAATACGTCCTTTCTCTTTAGGTAAAGTGAAAAACATATTGCAGAGCATTTTGAAGTGCTATGTTTTAGGGGAAAAATGTCTATACTGGTTCATCCACGTATATAAGAATTTGTAGAGTACTTGGTCAATGGGTTTTTCTCCCTTACAAAGCATAGTGGGACAGACTTTTTGACATAAAACAATATCACTTTTTTTTAGCGTATTCTATTTTTTAGCATAAATTATTCTAGTATTAAAGTAACATGAAAGGCAATTGTTAAAAGTAATGCAGGTAAAGTTAGTGATAAAGAAGCAATGTGATGACTGGTTGACAATATTTAAAGCTTATGTCTCTCTTTTAAGTCAATGTGCAAACATAAGTGCTTTCTCAGTCAACAACATGTACAATGATATTTTAAAATGATGTTAACTGCTAACTGTGGTAATAAATTGCCAATAAAATCAATTCTGTATATGCTTCCATGTAAATTGAAACTTTATACTTTTTTGCTTTTGTTCTGCAGTTGTAGAAAATTCTTAATTCACACTGGTTTACCCTAAGATTATTTTCAAAATGCAATGTCCTAATAAAACTGCATTTATCAAGAAGCAGAAATTTGACTAACAGAAAGCTGGAGTTTAAAAATAAAATATACTTGAATAGCTGGGTGAGTAGTGCATGCCTATACTCGTAGCTATTCAGAAGGCTGAGACAGGAGGATTGCTTGAATCCAGGAGTTCGAGACCAGCCTGGATAAGACAGAGAGACCTCGTCTCTACAAAATAATTTAAAAATATAGCTCGGCATGGTAGTACATGCCTGTAGTCACAGCTACGTGGGAAGCTGAGAAGGCAGGACTCCTTGAGCCCAGAAGTTCAAGTCCAGCTTGGGCAACAACAAGACTTCATCTCAAACACACACACACACACACACACACAAACAAACACACACACACACACACACACACTTGAATAGTGTTCTTTGGAAATTTAGAAATGTTTTAGTCTAAAGATATGAACATTCAGGAAAATGTTAATTTTTCCAAAGCCCCAATTTCTCACTATTAAAATATGTTAGCTTTCATATAGTATAATTTCACAGATTATTATAAGCACAGCTTGTGTGTGCATGTGTATATACGAACACACATATATATAAAATAACATTTCATTCTCAAATACTATTTTAAAGGCAGAAAAGTTCTGTCAAGAAAATTAGAAAATTAAAGCATACTGGGAATCTAACTAAATTAATGAACACCAAATTGCAACTCTAAGCTGATAATCTTTCATGGCGTAGAAAAGAGACCAACAAGTGAATAATTATCACAGTGAAAATAAGTGACCAACCATGCCAAATGCTCATGCAAATAAAAGAAAAAAATCTTTCCTTGTGTTAGATAAGCACAAAGCTAAGAATTGCCATTGTTAAAGCAAAATGATGAAATGACTCAGGAAAATTAAGAATAGCGTATATATATTATTACAATCTTAATTTAACTGTTTTAATCTCATTCTGTTTACGAAACTTTAACACTAAGCTAAAGAATGAAATAAAGCTGTTCTTAACCATATAAGAACAGCACATTTACTAATGTTGTATTAAGTTAATATTATTGAGATTAAAACACGGGTTATGTATACACATACACACAAAGCTATTAACAAAATCAGGAAATCTGGGGTATGTTAAAGCTGTGACTGCTAAGTGTTATTAGGCAAAAAGGAATGAAATTGGATTTAATGTTATTAGGTAAAAAGGAATGAAATTGGATTTAAAATGCAAGAAACATTTGCCAATTTTATCAATTAACCCAGGTGAAGCTATACAAACAAGATTAACAAATGATACTTTCTCTTCAACTCTACTTCAAATCTTTCAGGTTCCAAAATTTGGAAAATCAGTATACTTTCTATATGTGAACACCCATCAGCCTAAAATAAGAAGTAATCTGTATAAATGCATGGAGATATACAGAAACTCAATTCTGTAAGAATTCAGATTATATGGGAACTATAAAGATACCTCAGAATACTTCCATTTGTCTATCATCTACTTCCCTTGATATAAACTTTCTCTTCCACTCAACCCCCCTCACAATGTTAAAAGATCTCATTTTTGACAGAGTACCCAAAGAATTGGGTGTGTAAGTTTGAAACCATTAACATCTCCTATCATAGAAGTACACTTGTTTTCCAAAAAATTAAGCTTGTGATTCCAGAGTCTAATGTCTTCCTTGGTAGGTGCATAATAAATTCTCTCTTCATCTTTTTACTTGCATTGTCCCTGATATTTGAAACATTCTACTAGCTCACATTTTGCAGATTCCACATCTTCAGAATTTTAATTTAAAATCAATCAATGTTCCCCAGGTATGCAATCAAAGAATAACTCATGTCATCTTCAATACATATGGTATTCATCCTCATTCAACCATTAAGGTTATAAGTATTTATCTTTCTGTAGTTTGGCAGTTCTAGTCAAAGTAACAGGATTATTACAGCTATAGTTGCTTCATCCTTTTATAACTATATTTATCCTTATCTCTCCACTAGATTAATGCATACGGAACATAAATGCATGGGCTTTGGAATCATATCAACTGGTGTTCCAATACCAGCTCCACTACTTTCTACTTGTGATCCTGGGTGAGTGGCTATCTTTACTCATTGCAAAAATGAGAATTATAATATGCTTAACATCACAGGGTCACAATGAGGATTAAATGAGATAATTAAGGCAAGGAGCATATATATGTTAGAAATTATTTTAAACAGAATGATCATATCAAATGCAAAGAACTAAAATTAAGCATCCACAAATGTGTAAAGCATCAACAAACTGTGAAAACCTACTATGAGCAAAGTGTAATTTTTAATGCTTAGGAAGAAACAAATGTGAGTGAGAAGGGATCCTGAATGAGTCCTTATCCTTAAGTAGCTTAAAAACAGAAATAAGAGGTACATAAACACAAATGGGCTGAAGGCAAGAAAAACAAATATTATGGGTAGCTGGAGAAAGAAGTAAGCCTTCTCTACTTCTACAGATTAAGTGCTGCCTGAGAAGGAAGAGAGAAAGCTATTCTCCCCAGTACATATCTGTTTTCCACCCTCAATTCTCTGCTTTACCTATATCAACTATTCATTAGTTCACATACATAGCATGTCCCCATAACTCTGAACATTTGATTCTCTGTCTAGAAATTCCTTTACTGTTTCCTGGCAACTTTTCTTCAAGTCCTCCTCAAATGTCACTTAAGTGAAGCCATTCCACAACTTATCACAATGCAATTTAATTATGTGAATATGGTATGTCTACCACATTACATGGTGAGTACTCCAAGGATCAGAACTTCACCCCATGTTATTTACTCTGTATCCCTCCCCTCTGCATCTCCACCCAATGCCTACTTTCCAGCTTAGTATTTATTACTAACAAGAATGCAAATAAGAATTCTACGAATAAGAACTCAAATATTTACTAAATGAGCAATTAATGAATTAATGACTATAGCAAAAATGGAAAATAAAGAGAAGATCACCAACCAATTTTTGAGTCTGGACAACTTAAGATTAGAAAAAAATGGAAGTGAAACCATTCTAGATAAATTAGACAACAAAACAAAGACTCTTAAGACATAAAACTGGAAAGCATGTTCTCAGCCGGGTGCAGTGGCTCACGTCTTTAATCCCAGTCTGTAATCCCAGCACTGTGGGAAGCCAAGGTAGGTGGATCACTTGAGGCCAGGAGTTCGAGAGCAGCCTGGCCAACATGGTAAAACCCTGCCCGTCTCTACTAAAAATACAAAAATTAGCTGGGTGTGGTGGTGTATGCCTGTAATACCAGCTACTTGGGAGGCTGAGACATAAGAATCGCTTGAACCTGGGAGGTGGAGGTTGCAGTGAGCCAAGATCGTGCCACTGAACTCCAGCTTGGGTGGCAGGGCAAGGTGCTGTAAAAACAAACAAACAAACAAAAAACAAAACAAAAAACAACAACAAAAATAACAAAAAAAAAAAGGAAAAGTGTTCTAAAAAGGGCAAAAAGTTCTACATAATTGATAATGAATGCCTCACAGAGGATCTGAACCCTTCATCTATTTAGCTCTATCTTTCCCATTGACTTAAAAATTATTTTGGAAACGATACAGTCATAATATGAATGTCTAATGTTATTTTGTCTCTCAACTAGAGCATTACTAAAAACAGTTAAAGTCACTTTGAACTAAATTAGGATATGAATATTTTTCAGTCAAATATGGTGTTTAAATAGAAAGACTGATAGATCCAAATTGAGCTAAAGTTCATACTTAACGATGAATACACGAATTCTAAAACATGAGTAAACAAGACAGCATGACAAGATCACTTTAAGGATTATCTAAAATGGGTAATTATAGTAATCTTATTTTTAAAAATAATTCATCCAACATTCAGTCAGTGTTCAAACTTCCAATCTCTGCCCCCATTCCTCTCTCTATAGTTTGTTTGAGTTGGGATCCAAATAACGTGCACACATTGATGTCAATACAAAATTGTTTTAACTAGAAAAGGTTGAAGAGATAGACACAAACAGTGCTGAAGGCAACTTTTCAGTACTTTCACTTCTTTTTAAGTTAGCAGCATTGGTGTTTGAATACTTCTAATTTGATTTCATATCTCCCAGCTTTCATTTTTTTATTGAGTCATGTTTTACAATTAACAGCCATGATTAAAGTTCATTTACTTTAAACGAACTGAAGTAAGAAGGGAGAAAGATAGTTTTTCCAGCAGTAAATGTATAAGACATACAAAAGAAGAGGCAGCAAGATGCAACTATTTAGGTGTGTTATTTCCTTGAGAAGATGAGAGGGAATCATTATTCTATGTCCTACCATGTTTAGCCCTGCACAGTCAGATACTCATAAAAAAAATGTACTGACTGCGTAAGGGGTCTGCCCTAGTCCCTACAGAAAATCATACCTGTCCCTGCCTATGCCAGGCCTCTGACTCTGTATGAGTCCTCAGTTAATACCTGTACTGAAGTAACTTTATCCCAGATCTGTTTAGAGCCCTATGCCAATTAATTTTGCCATACTGTACCCCATCTGTCATCTTTGATCACCACCCAAAACATAAATCCTTATGTCATCTACCTGTTCTTTCATTTTTATACCAAACTGCTCTGTTTCTTCCTGATCCAAACTATTCCCATCCCCCCATGACTTTAAATTGTGTCTTATGGACCCCTTCCTCCAATGGTAAACACATTGTTTTTATCTTTTTTTTCTTTTTTTTTTTTGAGACGGAGTCTCACTCTGTCACCCAGGCTGGAGTGCAGTGGTGTGATCTCAGCTCACTGCAACCTCTGCCTCCTGGGTTCAAGCAATTCTCTGCCTCAGCCTCCTGAGTAGCTGGGACTATAGGCGTCCACCACCACGCCTGGCTAATTTTTGTATTTTTAGTAGAGACAGGATTTCACCATCTTGAACTGCTAACCTTGTGATCCACCCGTCTTGGCCTCCCAAAGTGCTGGCATAATAGGCGTGAGCCACCGTGCCCAGCCTGTTTTTATCTTTAACTTTGTGAGTCACATCATCTGTGTGTCTTCAAGTCCATGCAGATGATCTTCCACCTGCCTAACTTCTTAGTTCCTAGACTTAGGCACTTGTAGTGACTTCCACGTGCACTGCACTTCAGCCACCCTCCCATGGCAATGTAATAGAGTATCTCATTTGTTAAAGTGCCCTACCTATGATATCAAATACAAATATTCTACTTTATTGCCTGCATTTTTCCAACTCTTTAACTATAGTGCATTCACTATATTGTTCTAGGATTTTATTAAATCTTCTAAATCCCTTGGACCTTCCATTTGTCCTTTCACATTTCTAACTTAGGTCTGAGTCCACATTCCCAGAACTGATAATCTTAATTGCTATTTCTGTCACAGCAGCTCAGCAACTAGTACTATAATTTGCTTTCTTGGCTCTTTCTTGGCTCTTTTAATTCCAGACACTTAGGGCAATAAAGGACTAGGCAGGGGATTCCAGTTGGGTCTATACAGTGGTCTCATTGAGTCTTTAGTGGCCCAGTAATCCTTCAAACAATATTTCAAATATTCATTGCATTTCTCAACCCCCTAACTTAACTCATTCTTTTGATTCTGAACTGATCGTTTTCCTATCTTCTATTTTAAGGGAACTTGTAGTCTCCCTCAACCTCTTCCCTTCGTCCCTCCCTCCTCTAAAACATAACTACTGCCATGCATATTCCCCTCTCTTTTACAGAAGCAAGCTCTCTAAGGTGCCCTTAATTCCATTTCCTCCTCCTGTTTCTCAGTCTTCAGTCTTGTCATCTATATCTTTAATTTCTCCCTTTTTCTACTAGTATCTTTCTTTTAACTTATAAAACTCTCAAGTCACTACTACTCTTAAAATGAAGAAACCAAAAAAACCCTAGCTTCCTAACAATACCAGACACTCTTGAGCTGTTTACATTAACAACCTCCGCACTCACATTCCAGTGAAAACCACCCACAAGTATCTGTATGCCTCACTCCACTCCTTACCGCTCCTCTAACCTTTGTTACTCCCTTCTTTCCCTGACCTTAAGGAGACTGTCTACTACAGATTGTCTCTTGGATGGGGTTCAAAAGCATCAAGTAACAGAACACAATGCTTTAAAATAAAATCGTGGGATTCAGAATTGTGACAGATGGTACTTCTTGCTCTTCCTTTCTACTTTTGTTTATTGACTTGCTTTATCTGTGTGAGTATCTTTCTCTCCCAAAAGCAGCTCCTCAAATGAGCAAAGAAATCAGAGAAAATTTGGACTAGGAAGGTAGAAAAGATAATATAATCTGGAATAACATTTTATTAGGGACTTAAGAAAATTTTCTTAAATAAAACACACAATGGCCAGGTGTGGTAGCTCATGCCTGTAATATGAGCACTTTGTGAGGCCAAGGTAAGATGATCGCTTGAGCTCAGGAGTTTGAGACCAGCCTGGGCAACATAGTGAGACCCCATCTCTATATTTTTGTGTTTTTTTTGAGACAGAGATTCGCTCTGTCTCCCAGGCTGGAGTGCAGTGGCGTGATCTTGAATCACTGCAACCTCCACCTCCTGAGTTCCAGCGATTCTCCCGCTTCAGCCTCCAGAGTAGCTAGGATTACAGGTGCCCGCCACCACACCTGGCTAATTTTTTGCATTTTTAGTAGAGACGGGGTTTCACCATGTTGGCCAGGCTGGTCTCCTGACCTCAGGTGATCCACTGGCCTTGGCTTCCAAAAGTGCTGGGATTACAGGCGTGAGCCACCTCGCCTGGCTCTCCCATCTGTATAAAAAACAAAAACCAACTCCCCCTTGCCCAACAAAAAAGTCTATATTGGAAAAAAAAACTGTACAAAAGTGGTTGCTATAATTATCTCTTTAAAATACACTTTCATAGAGGGTCAAAATCCTTTTTATTTTTAACTGCAGGTATAAATCTGAGGAAAATTTAATAAGACGTAATTGATGTAATTTTTTAATTTAAAATTTAGTATTTTACTTATAGATGTATCATTGTTCAACTTAACCTCCGTAAAGCAGTAAGCCAACACTCTAAATCTTCTTGATCACATATCTTCCTTCTCTTTCTTGCTCTCTGTCTATATACAGTCTCCACTGTGCTATTATAAAACATACACAAAAGCATATAAAAAAGAATGAGATCAATAAATAGAAATAGAAATTCCAATGTTTTCTTCACCAAAGAATTGTCTTGTATTATATAAACTACTGCTTTGGAGAACATTATTATGGACAATCAAGGAGAAAGTCAAATGGAATATACTGAATGGTTTGATACAATAAGCTAACTTTATAAACGGATTTTTAAGAAATTCAACTGTTTAAAATACTAAGTTTTTAAATAAAATTTTACCCGTGCTATTTATTAGCTCTATCCTAAAGAGCACACACATTTGATGGTAATGAAAAAAGGAAAAATCATTCTTTCCTGGTTAATATATAAAACGAAGTGTGGGTTATTATTATACTTCATGAAGTAGCAATCTTGTGAACACTGGCTCTATTCTACTATACTCAACAAGGAGGTACAATGAATTCTCTCAAAGACTAGGATTTAACTTCAACTAGAATACAACGGAGCACCACAAATCTAAATAATAGTATTATAAGCCGAGAAGGAAGAGAGTCAAAATTAGACAGAACACACAGAACTATCTGCAAAATGTGAACATAACATACATTTATACATGTTTTTGAATGTATAATTCTGAGTTCATAAACTTTAGTTTGGAATTCATTCCACACAGCTGTATAAATAAGAAAGAAAAAAATGTAACCACTCTCATTTTCTACCTCTTTGAAAGGAATTCAGTAGTTTTAATTAAGTAGCAATTAATTAAATTTACTACTTCCTGCCTATCTGTGATGGATCATAATCTGCACTAAGGGCCTTAACCTTGCCAAACTTCACTTTCATTACACAGAAGCCCTTAAGAATTCAAGAAATTGTAAAGTAAAGGTTACTTAGTTGTGGGTTACCTCAGAACTGAAAAGCCTTAATTAAAGAAAGCTCTGTAAAACAAACAGCGTGTATCTATAATGCTTTTTAAAACCACCTTTTACTTACGTCAACAGGGACCAGAAGACTCTTGCCAAGATGTTGATTAAAAGAGAGGCACCAGGCTTCAGTGTAACCATTCATGTTAGGGACATACTTCTTTATTGTCTCATCATTCAGCCTCAGCCACACACCATCATCATTATGGATCTATAGAAAAAAGCAACAGAAACAAGCCAGGCCTTCCTGTAAGTCCTATGAGGCTAGCAAGGTCTGAAAGTCTGCAAAGCAGAAAAATGATGGTGCATGTGCAGATTAAGCATCTAGTTTTTGCAGAAAGTAAGTCTGAGAGACCCTCCAGGGAAAAAAAAAGCAGCAAAGAGTGCCAACACAATATGGTAATTCATGTGGCAAGACTGTAAAAACAATTTCACTTAGGAATAAAAACACAAGGAAACCACACTTTAAGATACATAAACAGTAAAATCAGATGTTTCCCAAAGGAATATGAGTCTTCCTTCCCTTATATTTATATTTTAAGAAACAGAAGTTACTTGGTTATATTACCAGAAAAATATACTGTCCAAAGTTAAAGCAGTAAGAAACACATTTCAAAACAAACAACATTTTAAAATGTCATGAAGAACTATACCCATTTTCAGTGAATACATGTACAGGTTCTGAATACTATGTCGAACATTGTTCTTTTCATGTTCAAAATATAATTTTAGTCATTTTTTAATGATAAAATAAATGAAATGTTTGAAACTCAATGAACACATTCTATAAAATAGTTTTAAAATATTTCCCAAACTGCTTAAAACATATTCTGACAAAAAACTCAGTAACCTTATTATTATGCAAACAATGCAAAAACTTTCTGTCCAAAATTTACTACCAAAAGCTCCTTTATCAATTACCTCATCAATAAAAGTGATAGTTCCATTGACTTTCACTATGCCTATCTGCTCACTCTGAAGGGAAGGGTGGCTACGGATGCGAAGCCCCGCACTGTCCTTGGCCACAAATTTTCGAACCTGAGAAAGGCAAAGATAAACAGTGAGGTAGGAAGAACATAGAATAGAGATCTTACAAGTAGCAAGAAGTAAAATTAAGCAGGTTTGAAAGTATCGTAATTCTTAATAAGGTTCCAGAATTATTTGTAGAGAGGCTCCCTCTGCAAATAACAGTATAACAACACTAACAACAGAACTTTTAAGCACTGAAATGTGTATTACTGAAAATAAAGCTTAGACAATTATATATATTTTAACTCATTTCTAAATACTGAAGATACGTGTTAAGAAGGATAAAAACCATTTCTTTCTGTTAGAAAAATAAATTCAATTACCAATATTTCATTTTTTTAACATGCAGTTTACCAAAATGCCTGTACTTACTCTTTAGATTTCAGAAATTAACTTTTCTTTTGACAGTAGAGGACATTTTCACCTTGCAAACTTTACACTTAATTTCAGTAGACTTTTGTTCATTGTAAATGTTCCACAGCAGGAAGAATACAATATGTACCAAATAAAGAAGTACACATGCTACAACTTAGAAATATTACCATGAACTACTCTCTAAATTTATTTAGGGATATTTAGAATTCAAGTCCTGAAATCAAGTAAAATGTTAGATGTTTACTGGCCATTTTGAAGCATCAGTGACAAACGTAAAAATTGAATGATTCCGGCTCTCAATTCATTCTGCCCTAACCTTATTAGGCTGAGGTTCAGACTTTGGTTTGACCAACTGAGTTCCTGGTGGTATCATCCCTTTTGGTGGGTCTTTTACTTTTACTTCCAGACCAGCATCTGTCAGAAAAATCAGAGAACTGTAACATTTGAGAAAAAAAGAGAAGGAAGATCCTTAAACCTAATCTTATAAACATCCACAGGCTATTTTTAAAAATTAACACAAATATCTGATTTCTGTCCTTTTAAGGTGATGGATATTTAATAGGCTAAACAAGAGAAATATTTTAAAAATGGCCCTGAGATTCTAAAGGAATGTCTCAGGATGTCAAGGAAAAGAAGGGGCTCCCTATCTTTAACTAGAACATATGAAATGATACAGAAAAAATGGAAAATAATAAAAAAAAGAACCCTTGAGAATTAAATCTTATCTGACAATATCCAATCAGAATACCACTCATCATCTCTACCAGTCCTCTCTATGACAATGTAGCATGGTTGTGAGAAGCTGAGGTTCTCATGTTAGACTGCTTTGGTTACTCCAATATCTCGCACTAACTGTTTGACTCTCTGTGCCTCAATTTCTTCATCTATAAAATGGGAAAAATAACAGTATCTAACTCACCGAGCTGTTGTAGGAAATAAATGACGTAAAATGTACAAGGGGCCAGGCGCAGTGGTTCACAATTGTAATCCCAGCACTTTGGGAGGCCGGGGCAGGCGGATCACCTGAGGTCGGGAGTTCAAGATCAGCCTGGCCACCATAGTGAAACCCCATCTCTACTAAAAATACAAAAATTAGCCGGGCCTGGTGGCGCGCACCTGTAATTCTAGGTACTCAGGAAGCTGAAGCATGAGAATTGCTTGAACCTGTGAGGTGGAGGTTGCAGTGGGCAGGGATCGCGCCACTGCATTCCAGCCTGTGCAACAGAGTGAGACTCTGTCTCAAAAAAAAAAAAAAAAAAGTATACATAGAGAAAATTTAGATATATATTAAATGCACAATAAATGCTAGCTATTATTATTATAACTATTCTAGTGAATTATTATCTCTGCTTGTCTATGGTCAAGCAAGGTCGCAGCCCATTGATGGCATCGGAGAAAACTTAGGAAGAAGAGCAGGGAAGTTGAGTATGGAAGAAAATGGATGATTCTAAGTAAGCAAGTATTTTTGTTCAGCTTCATTCCAAAAAACAAATATAAGTGGATTTTTCTTATCTAATTTGTATCAGTTTTCTTCATCCCCACTATTAGATAAGATGATGAAAAAAACTCTATCTACTGAAATTTTACCAGAATTTTTAGAGAAAAGAAAATTTTCACAATGTCATTCTTGGCTATTTCTACTTTCGAATTCCTACTGTAATTTGTATGTCTTGTGTGTCACTACTTATATTCTACTTCATAAGATTTTTGTTTGCGTGTTTTATTTTCACAATCCTCATTAAAGTGTTAACACTTGACAGGAATTGTCTTACCCAGGAAAATGTATGCTCAGAACCAAAAAACATTTGCTGAACTAAAGGCTTTATGAATATATTGAAATAAAGAAGAGTGCAGCAAAGGCTGCTGGTGAAGGTCTCTAGAATGGTACAGATGAACTGGATATATCTGAGTCTATATAGTTACATTAATGTATGAGAACATACAATTACATCAATGTAAAGTACCTCTTTACCTCCACTGCCAAAGCAAACTACTTAAAGCAGGGTTTCCCAAATATTTTGGTGAAATATTAATTGGTATTATTACTATCTCCACCCTGTTTCTCTCTTCTCCACTTGCAAGGGGTCCCACGATAAGGATTAAACATAGTCAGACAAGTTTCTTGATTTCAGAACTTCTCAGAATCCCTAATATGTTAATGTAGATTGTGTGAATGTCTCAAGTGAGACTACCATATACAAGTTGAGCATCTCTAATCTGAAAACCCCAAATCCAAAATGATCTAAAATCTAAAACCTTTGGGTGCTGACATGATGCTCAAAAAAAGTGCTCACTGGAGCATTCTGAATTTTGAAATTTTGAATTAGGGATGCTCAACTGGTAACTGTAATACAACTATTCCAAAATCAGAAAAAGTCCAAAATCTAGAATACTTCTGGTGCCAAGCATTTCAGATAAAAGATACTCATCCCAAACCAGGTTTTCGAAATTTATCTGATCACAGAAACCCCTTTCCTTGAGGAGCATCAGGAAAAATAATGTTACAAGAAATTCACACTGATAAGTACTAGAGTTTTCTCCTTGTTATCCTATTATACAGACAGTTTAAAAGTAAAGAAAAGATTAATGCCTAAAACAAAAGAAATATGTTTTTCAAAGTTAATGGTTGTGATGATTACTTCTAGGTGTCCACTTGACTGGATTAAAGAATACCTAGAAACCTGGTAAGGCATTACTTTTGCGTCTGTGAGGGTGTTTCCAGACAAGACTGGCGTGTGAGTGTGAGTGGAGTAGGTGGAGAAGATCTGCTTTCAATGTGGACAGGCGCTGTCCAATCAGCTGGGGACACAGAGCAAACAAAAACAGAGGAGAGGTGAATGTATTTCTATTTTTTGGAGCTTGGATAAACACTTCCTCTACTGTCCCTTGACATTTGAACTCCAGGGTCCCCAGCATTTAGACTCCAGGACTTATTATTAGTGGCCCTCCTGGATTCTCAGACCTTTGGCCTCAGACTGAGAGTTACATCATCTGCTTCCCTGGTTCTGAGGCTACCTGCATCTCAGGATCTCCAGCTTGCAGGTGTGGCCCATAATGGGACTTTTCAGACTCCATAATTGTGCGAGCCAATTTCCCTAATAAATCCTCTCATATATCTAATATAGACATGCATTGCTTAAGGATGGGGAAATGTTCTGAGAAATGAATCACCAGGCAATTTCATCATTGTGCAAACATCAGAGTGGACTTAAGCAAACCTAGATGGTACAGATTACCTGGGTTATATGGTACAGCCTATTGGTCTTAGGCTACAATCCTGTACAGCATGTTACCCTACTGAATACTGCAGGTAACTGTAACACAATGGTAAGGATTTGCATATCTAAACATATCTAAGCATAGAAAAGGTACAGGAAAATCTTATAGGACCACCATTATATACGCTGTTCGTCACTGACCAAAATGCTATGAGGTACATGACTGTATAGATATCCTATTGGTTCTGTCTCTCTGGAGAACCCAGATTAACACAATGATCGATTTAAAAATGCATTCATTCATCCATATTTGCTGTCATTATGTGCCAGGCACTGAGCTACACTGGAAGATCCAAACATGAATGCTTTCTGCTCACAGTCAGGAGAGGCACAGACACACCCACAGGGGAGAGACAGGGTAACAGCAGCGTGGAAGAGAGCACACCTGACTAGTAACATCAGGAAATGGAGGGAGAGAGTCATGAGGGCTACAGTGCCTGGGCGGACACCAGAAATTATTACAAAATGTTAATGCACTAATTAAATACTCATTATGAAAGAGAAAACAAGGCCTCAAATAAGTTATGAAACCTATCCATATGTCTAGTGCAAGTTAATGGGCAAAACTAGAAGATAAAAATAATTTTGACTCTAGTTATTTGAAGTAAGTAGTAGCTCATGGCTTTAAAGAAAATACCGATTTCAATGCCATCAATGGTAACATGAAGAGTGTAGAGTCCAATAGCCCCTGGAGTCCAATTTGCACAATAAGTCCCATCATTATTGACACGGATCAGCATATTCTCACTGGGTCTGAAAAGAAATAAGATGGATATTGGAAATTTTACTTTTGGTTAAGCAGTCAACATCATTACGATAGTTCAGCAAACATTTAATTTGTTTGCATACCTCCTGGCAATCCTACCACCCTGCCATAGTACGCTTGCCTACTCTCCAAAATGCTTGAATTTCACTTCTTTCTTACCTCAAACCTGCATCACCTCTCTTCCTAACTCTCAGGTGATCATGACCTCACCTCTTTCTTCTGTGAGACAATAAGCAATCAGATACAACCTCAAAGTTGCAATGTGATTAATAAACCTACTTTCCCCTGCCTTCTCTCATGGTAGAATGGAGGAAGTGTCCTGGATCTGATCCAAAGCTAGTCCCTCCCCTTGTGCTGTGAATCTTATTCCCTCAACATTTTTATGCTGCAATCACCTTGTTCTCTCTCATGCATCATCAATTACTCTCAATTTAGTGAATCATTTCGATTAGCACACAAACTTTAGAATCTTCACTAACACCTCCCTTTGGTATTACAACCCCCTCTAATAAGGTCTTACATCTCTTCTCCGATTTATATCAAACTCCATTCTCTCACTTCTACTTCCTTTCCACAATTTATCCTTATTAGGCTTTTGTTTCCAACATTTCCTTACAACTGCTGATGTCAAAGTCACCAATGACCACCACGTCCCCAAGTTCAATGGTCACTTCATCCTCAGCAATCTCTCAGTAGCATCTGATAGCTGACAACTCTTCCTATCTTGAAATACTTCCTTCTTTTTGCTTCTGTGACATTTTCCTGGCTTTTTTCTTATCTCACTGGCCATTCTTTGTCAGTGTTTTGTTGCTTTCCCTTTTCTGACTACCGTTTAATTTAAGGAATGCCCCAGGATTTGGGTCTGGGTCATCTTTTTTCTACCTATGCCATCTATCTAGGTGACAACCATTCCTCAGTTTTAAATGCCATCTCAATATAGATGATTCCCAAATTTATTTTCCCCATGAGTTTCAAACTGGTATTTCCAGCCTATACATAATTCTGCTATCTCAGATTCACTTCAGAGATTTTTCTAAATTCTATGGAGGTGATCTCTCCAAAGTATAATGCATCTAATTATTTTTTCCAAGTTTCTATTTTAAGTAGTACTGTTCCTAACAAATAAAATATTAACTCAAAAAAAGTCCTTAAATCTGAAGTTAACAGAATTACTTACGGGCTGAAAAATTAAGACAGTACAATCAAATACAAGTATACCACATGCTGAAATCTCTCCACAATTCATTGGAAGGAGAAAAGGAACAATTTTTAAATAGCAAACAAACAAAAAACAAACTAATCAACCCTAAACAAGTCAATTTAAACATTTTTACATACTAGATATCTACTTTACATACCTATTTTCACTAGTAGGTAGTATTATGTAATATATTGGCAGTATTACAGTTGAATGTAAACACATTCTTTCTGCAAATCTATACATTATTATATGACATCTCTATCGGCAACCTAGAAAAATGCTATAAAGTATTTATTTATAGAAAATAAAGTTGAAATGCAGGATGATTTTAGTTGCAAGCAGCTGACAACACATGTTTTGGTTATACTTTGAGAAAACGATCCTTACCTCTTAGGAGTTGGTGATGCAAAACGTAGTTCTTCAAATGAATAATTTTCATAAACCTTTAAGAAAGAGACCAGTCTGAACAATCGTAAAATCATTTAAAAACATTCTCAATTAACAGAGTAATATATTATTCAATAAATGGTTGTGAGACAACTGGTTATACATATAGGAGAAAAAGAAAAAAAATTACCTACTTTAGACCATTTATTAAAGATAAATTCTACAAGGTTTGAAGATCCAAAAGTAAACACCAAAACTTAAAAAAAAAAAGCAAAAGAAAAAAACAGATAACATCTTTTGAGTACATTAAAATTTTAAAGTTTTCCAAAACAAATACTATACAGAAAGGAAAAGCTTCCACCTTGGAGAAGGAGATTTGTAACTCGTATAACCCAAAGGTGATATGCATCCATAACATATAGAGAATAAATCCATACAAAAGAGATAAACAACAACAAAAAAAGACAGTCAAGACAATTCTCTGAAGAAGAAATCTGAAAGGTCAATAAAGACTAGAAAAGTTATTTAACTAAACTTGGAGGAAAATACGAATTAAAACAAAACTAAAATAAATCACATCATGGTCATCAAATTGTGTTGGTAAGAACCAAGCGCAGAGGAGAACATGCAGCACCTGCTACTTTCATACATTGCTCGTGGGAGTGTGAGTTTTGGCAATACTTAATGTAGTTGTAGTTGTGCATGCCCTACAACTTAACAATTCCACTTCTAAGTATGTATCTTACAGAAACTCTTGCTCATGTACAAAAGGAGACAAATACAGAATGTTTATTTCAGTACAGTTTATAATAAGCGTCCATCAATGGGAGAATGGACAGATTATGGAATAGATCCCCAATGGAATGCTTTAAAGCAGTTAAAATGAATGACCTATAGCTACACGGCTGAACCTCAAAAACAACATTAAGCAAAAATCTGGCAAAATGATACATACAATACGATATTATTTTATAAACTTCTGGAAAACGTATTGAACAACCCAAAATATACTGCTTATGAATAAATTTGTATTCAGTAAGAGCCTAAAAATATATACAGGAATGAGAATCACTACACTCAGGGCAGTGGTTACCTCTAAGGAAGGGGTGGTAATGGGTCTGAGGAAGGGTTTAGGCAGGCTTCAATTGTACCTGTAGCAATCTGTTTCTTAATAAAAAAATAACAAAATGACCTGAAACAATTATGGTAAAATGTAAAGACAAAAATGGGCTGTAGGTACATGAAACTTGGCACATTATTCTGAATACTTCTGTATGCCTGCAACATTAGCAAAGAAATCATTATCTTTCAAGGTTCAGGTCAAGATGTCCAACTGCTCATCTACTTCTAACTCCTCCTGTACTTACAGTAAAAGGAAGCAAACTCAAAGCCCCCTTCCTTCTCTCTACCCTTTTTGTTTTCATAAAAATGAATTAGAAATGATCTAGCTGACTTTACCTACTCAAAAGTTACACATGAGAAAAACGCAAGTTAAGGCTGAGTCTTTAGCCATACAAAGGTGAGAAAAGGAAATCCATGTTTCTAGACTTTCAGTACAATGTATTTTCTATTTCATCACTCTCCCTCAAATTCATATTATTAACACACTTAGTAATGAAAGAAGAGACCATATTTCATCTTTCCATCCTCTACAATACTTGGCTCACTACTGAGTGAATACATAGTATCTGTGAATGGTTGATAAGGAAAATTTCCTTTCCTGGGACCTGAATTAACATTTCACAGATACTGTTTGGGAATGGTATTCCATACCTGCTCTAAACCTAGGCTACTCAGAACATGTTTGAAATATTGCATTCCGTTGTGGTAACAAAATTTGCAAAAGAAATTATACAAACTGAAGCATGTTCATAGGAAACTAAAAGATTAGGGAGGTAAGGAGACTAGAAACTAAATTCCTTAAGCAAGTGTTGGAATAGAGAAGAATTTTTAGCCTTGCTTTTTTTTTTAATAGTAGAAATAATTTTAAAATTTGATACTAAAATAGCCAAATGTGTAAGATGGATTTTTTAAAAAATGAGACAAATATTTATTTCGGATATAGAATTCATAATGAGATTATTAATTTGGTGAGTAAAAAGTGAGAGAAGAGAATTCTTTAACAGCCAGTGGACAATTCACCTAGAACTCTAGTTTCTCATTCCCTGATTTCTTTAACCTCAATAACTTCAACTTTTTTTCCAGCCACTCACACCAAAAGTCACAGACCTGTGACATTACTCAGAATTGTTCTGTCTCTGAAATCAAAATAAAATGGCCTGTTCAGTTTTTTACCTCAATAACTATTCTTATATCTACTTTGACGTCTAGTCCCTCTTACTTCCTTGACTCTGAAATTTCTTCCCTTCCAAACTAAATTAGGTTCCACTGTCCTCTCTTTAGCTACCATATACTTAACTTCCTTGTTCCACTGTTCTTTTGCTGGTCTAGCAAAATTTTAATGCTAGATCCATCCAAATGATTGTTTTATCCATGCTCATATGACTCACACTGTTATTCACAAATAATCTTCAATTTCAACTGATTATTCAAAGGCATCTAATAAATCTTTTCTGATCGGTGCTTTCTTTTAATCTCTAGAATAACAATTTCATTTTATCCGCTTTGTTTCAAAACCTTGACCCTAAGATTCATCACTTCCATTTCCATCCCAAAACACATAATTACTGTTTTAAATAATTCCTTTGGCTGCAAAACCTACAAATTTACTAGCATCTGTATTAAGCTTTCTTTTCCTTCTTCTGGTAGAATGAAACAAGCACTACTCCTCCTCCTATTTAAGGCCAATGCTACCACTTGAGCTCTAGATTCTATTTTTATATTCGGAGTATCTTTATTGTTTTTTCTCTCAATTACCTCCTAATCAGCACTCAAATATGTAACTCTATCTCTATTAATAAGACCCCATACTCCAAAGCCTTCACTCAATTCCATTTCCTCTGGTTCTTTCTATAGTCAAACATCTTGAAAGGCTTATCTACACTCACTTCAGCCATTCCCTTAATTATGTGTTGCTTCTTTGGCTAGTATTCTTACCAATGTGAATCGTTTTTCCTTTTCCTTTCTTTTTCTCTTATCTACCTTGTAAATCAGTATTTCTCAAAGTTTAGGTTTTGAATTTGAATCACTGCATATTTGTTTCAGGTAAATTCCTGAACCTCTCTCCAAACCCACTGAATCTAAATCTCTGGGTGCTTGGAAATCTTTTTTTTTTTTTAAGTAAGTGCTCCAGATGCTTCTGATGTAGAGAAGAGTCTGAGACTCAGTGATATTGGTGTTTCTTAGGATCCTATCCTGGAACTTCTGTCTTCATTCACCATAGAAGGTATCATCTATTCCCATGACTTCATAAGTAATGTAAGTGCTAATGATTCCTGAATCCTTTTCTTGAGGTCAGACTGTGATCACTCAGGTCTGTACATCTAACTTTGTTTTATACATCTTCACGTAGGTATTTCAGAAGTATCTAAAACTCACCTCATCCAAAACTGAATCTGCTATCTTTCTCAACCAAAACCTGCCCCTCTTCCATTATCAATTGGACACAAGCTCAATATGTGAATTTCATCTTTTATTTCCTACCTTTCTTCTTTACTCCACCTCCACTAGCTACCAGGTTCTACTGATTCTATTGAATCTATCCTCATTGACAACTCACTAGTCCAACTGATCAGCATATCTCACCAAATTAAGTCAATAGTCCCCTAAAGAGACTAAAACCAAGTCATGTTTCTTGATCATCTGCCCAATTACACTGTCCATATTCCACCACAATCGTTACAAAACACAAATCTAATCAAGCCATTCCTCTACCCAAAAGCCTTCAATGGCTCACCACTGCTCTCTGAAAATGCCAAAATTACAAACTTCAGCTTCAAATAATGACTACCTTGATAATTCGGATTAACATTGCCTCTGAAGATAACTAAAACATCCAAAATATATATTTTTTAAATGTCTAAAGGTATTAGAGAGCTAAAAATCCCAAAGAGTTCTAGGAGATACATCTGGCATTTGAGAGAACCCAAAATTGAAGGGGGCATAGGTAAACCCCAAAACCCTGAAGAGATACATTCTAGCAAGAATAGTAAACTGCAAATAGACAAGTACTTAGAAATTTTATTTTATTTTTATTTTTTTGTAGAGATGGGGTCTCACTACATTACTGAGGCTGGTCTCGAACTCTTGGCCTCAAGTGATGTTCCCTCCTTGGCCTCCCAAAGCCCTGGGATTATAGGTGTGGGCCACTGTTCCTGGTCAGAAGTAGACAAGTACTTTCACAGGAACTGAAACTCAGCCTAATCCATCTGTATCTCTGATTCGATTAACTTGATCTGTAATTGGTGATCCCCTCTGGACATCTGCCAAAAACCAATGAAAATCCTCTCTGAAGACAGGATAACATCATCTTAATAAGTGTTGCTGCAAATTTAATATCCATCAAATGCTCTTTGGACTTACAATTTCATGTCTGCATCTGAATCACTGAAATGTTGGTTAAATAAACAAATGCTGAAAACTAAAATTTTTCTGATAAGTAAAATAAATTACCTTCATCATTGTTATGGCAATATATCGAGCTTCCTTCACTATCATTGGTTCATATGAAACATCTAGCTTTGGTGATGCCAGCCCTCCATAAGTCATGTCAGTATTAGAAGATGCAGCTGTTACTGCAGGACTGCCAGGAATCCTTTGAGGTTTCTTTGCTTGATCTTGTTGTAAAGACATTTTTTTCTGAGAAACAGGGACAGCTTTCACTTCCACCTAAACATGGTATTATAGAAACCAAATACCATTATTATTTAATTGTCACTGACATCAAAATAAGCAACTTACTATTATAAACTCATAATTATGTATACTTTATGTTAGCATTGGTCTGTCTCTGGCATTCCCTTCAAAGGCTTATTGAAAAGAGTTCAAATGACCTCAAGATGGGTTGACAATATGAACCATGAACACGGTGTAAAAACAAGGCCTCATAGTTTTGGAATACATAATCAGAGATATCAAAACATAAAAACAAATGCACCACTAATAAAGTACAGGAAAAGATAGTGGAATGAATCTACATTAAGTTATTGCAGGGACTAACAAATTATTTTATCAGGTAATGCAAGTGTAAATGCTTTCCCACAATCTCAGCACATTTTAAAGCACTAATGTCAGTTTGAGCTGCACTGTTCTACAGAAGAAAATGTACTCTATTTATAGAAGTTTCAAAAATTAACACTTAATAAAACAAATCTTATACCTAAAGCCCAAATATGTTTCTTTACTCGGGTGAAGAAAGAATATTATTAGACAGCCCTATCACCAACATCAACATTTGATTTAAGCAATCTATTAAATAATTAAACTTTGCAACTCACTTTCTTTAAGAATAAAATGGGACTATCTTTCGTCCACTAACTCTACAGTATAGATGCAAAAAACAGATTCGTTAATGGATGTTAATATACTGAAAATACAAATTGTCTTATAAAAATACCTTTTAGATATATTTTCCAGGAATTATAACTTTGCAACTCAATTTCTTCAACAAAACGGGACTATCTTTGATCTACTAACTCTACTATTTCATCTACTAACTACTATTTCTGAAAAATACTTTTTAGAAATATTTCCCAGAAATTATAAGAAAACATTGTTTTTATTTGTTTATGCATTGGCAGAAAAACACTTGACCCCTAGGCAACCACAAATGTACACACAATTTGAATACCACTTTAGTTCTTCAGCAGGTATCACCATTCTGAGCTTTACTCAAAGTTTCTGCTGCTCCCTACAGACAATAGTTTTGTGGTTGGCAAGAACAGGTAATTCAACAGAATTGTCACAGAAATAGAAAAAGTGCAGAGATAAAAGTGATAGTATTTTTAAGTAATTGAGAGCTACCTCAGAACTACAGACTGTCTTTATGTTTATTGTTCTTAACAACGCGATTCTATGGAATCAGTAGTTTGAGACTTTCGCTATTTATATAATGTTAGGCACAGGTGACAAATATGTTCCATTAAGTGACCACTATCTTCAGGTGAGGTTACAAGAGATCAGTATTTGGACTGACACAAACCCCTGGAAATATTAAAAACCCATTCTTATATTTAAAAAATGGCAGTTTACAGGTATATGGTTAAAATTTCAACTCAAACACATGTGCCAGCATAAAAAGCTTTAAACTTTAAACAATTAAAAAATCTGAAGATGATACAGACAGGAGTCAGGGATATACTGGATAGGAGAAGGTGGTTCCCTGGCAAAGGCCCCACTCTCAAGCCTGGAAACCATGACCCTAAATGAGAACAGTTTATCCTTGTATTCCGCCTAAATGTTGCCTTTTTGGCCAGCCCTGCCCCCCTACCCTATGCCCCTATAAATCCCAGACTTCAGCTAGCAAAGAGACAAGTGGCGAATACCAAGAGGAGAAGCAGCAACTGATGAGACGCGCGGCTTAACCTCAGATGGCACCACTTAGGAGAGGAGCATGGCTGGAGACGGCTGGGCTTCAGGGAAATATCACCTTCTTCTCACACCATGCCCTTTCTAGCTCCCCTTCTGCTGAGAGCCACTTCCACCGTTTGATAAAATCCGCCGTGGCTGGGCGCGGTGGCTCACGCCTGTAATCCCAGCACTTTTGGAGTCTGAGGCGGGCGAATCACAAGGTCAGGAGATCGAGACCATCCTGGCTAACACGGTGAAACCCCGTCTCTACTAAAAATACAAAAAATTAGCCAGGCGTGGTGGCGGGTGCCTGTAGTCTCAGCTACTCGGGAGGCTGAGGCAGGAGAATGGAGTGAACCCAGGAAGCGGAGCTTGCAGTGAGCTGAAATCGTGCCACTGTACTCCAGCCTGGGCGACAGAGCGAGACTCTGTCTCAAAAAAAAAAAAAAAAAAAAAAAATCTGCTGTATTCACGCATTCATCGCGTTTCAAACCATTCATATGACCTGATTCTTCCTGAATGCCAGACAAGAATTCAGGACACACTGGGTGCAGGAACCCAAAAAGGCTGTCATGCTGATTCTTCACTGAGCTGTTTAACACTTAGCCATCCACAGACAACAAAGCTAAAAAAGCATTAATTGTGACACACTCCTAGATGCTGCTGTGGGGCTGGAGCCCAGAGGTGCTTGCCTGGGCCCTGGCACCTGCTTGCCTCAGTGCTCGCCATCCTGCAAGGGGTTTGAGTGCAGCAGTCAAGTAAATGAGCCACACGACACCCACGTCCCAAGTCCCACAAAGGGGTCAAGGGAACTCTCCTGTCTCAAACATATTTGATATTAAATTACAGACACTATTTTTATACATACTATTTCAATTTAACCTTTCTGTAAGCAACTATATTTACCCTAAGTATTTAATAAATTATCATTAGAGTCTATGTGTGTATGCACCATGAACCTTGAAGTAAATCACTGAATAATTTTATACTTTAAGAAAACTGAGACATTATAGAATAACCATTCTGCTTTCTTTTACAAACTGTGTTACTTAAAAAAAAAGTTATTCTTGTATTTCCTATGTGACTTTCTCTTGTCAATAAATAAGATTTCCTTAAAATAAACTTTTTTTTTTAATTCACAGGAAGTTTCAAAAATAGATGAAATGTCCTATGTACCCTTCACTCAGGTTCCCCCAATGGCTACATTTTATCCAACACTGTCAGACACTGATGGTACTGAACCAAAACCAGGAAATTGACATTGGTACAATATGTGTGTTTAGTTCTAACTCATTTTATCACAGGTAGGGAACAGTCATTTTATAAGTAAAAAATTATAACAATAACACTTGTTGCTTTTGAAAGCATTTTGGAACTCATTGAAATATTAGCTGCAAATCAACTTTTATGCTTCAAATAATTAGCTATTACTGCATAAAGATTTTAACAATTTATGAACAGTCTAAAGTGCTCCTAAGACTTCATATACTAATAGGCTGAAAGTAAAATAGGTTAAATTAATTTTGTTTCCAGCTAATATAATATGATATTAATACATTAAACATCAGTAGGAGCACAAATCACTTCTTCTAGATAGTATTTAGAGTGGTTTTCTAGAAAGTTTCTAAATTGGATAAATCTGACATGAATTTAGAGCACACTGAGTAAGAGGTTTAAGTCAAGGAAAGATAGTAGGAGAAGCAAATATATGGAGGAGAAAGAAGAGGAAGAAAAGAAGGAAAAAGGAGAAGGAGGTGAAAGGGAAAGAGGAGAGGGAAGAAGAGAGGAAAAAAAAAAGCAGATCCATCATATGGTTAAAAAAAGAACTCTAAGATGAAAAGAAAAAAAGATGAAGTCTGACTTTCAAATGCAAGATATAAACATACCAGATATCAAAAGAGATAATAAAAGGTGCAAAGGAGAAAACACAAGAAAGAAAATACAACTAAAGAAATATCAGAAGCGTAACAGTATGAACATGGTATTAGAATGTTGTCACATGAATAAAAAACTTAATCTTGAGGGTTCAAAGATTGGATTTAACAACTCACTACATTGAGAAATTCATCAGTGAATACACAATATACAAGCCCTTCAACATCTTAACGTGTATTGTACTGTGATCAAAAATCTGTCCTTGAGTAGTAATTTTTTTCATATCACTATCAGGATAACTTTATTTTTAAATCTTTTTTTCTTATAATTTGTGATGCTTTTTGCATTGTATAGAATAATTCCAAGTAGGCATGAACTCAGTTTGTGAAGGGTATGACTTGCCTTAAAAAATAAGATAGAGAAAGCATCAGAGTATAGCATATTATGTATGTATGTGTGTATGTATATATAAAGTATATTATATGTACTTAACATATGCTATTACATAGACACTATTCCATCATATATTATATTTATATCTTTGGGTTATAATAAAAATTCTGACTATGGATCATGGCCAAATATTTGAAAGATACTGCTAAAAGACTGATTTTGATTTAGTATCAGGGTTGAAACCTTTTCCATACAGTTTTATTTACTGGTCTTAAGTCATGTAAGCAATGTGTTCTTATTTTTTACTTAGGTAAGATGCTACATTGGCATTGTACTTCTTCACGCTATAAATGAAAGAATGCATGAAGTAGTTGAAATAGTTCTACTGAAAATAATATTGAGGCAAAATTAGCTACCCAATGAGCAAAAAGGATTTTGTGGCTTAATCAGCTCTAAGCTTCAAACAACCAATCACTCTATAAGACAACTTTGAAGGAGGAAAGGGCTGGGGACTGCCTATATAAAATTTTATTCAATATAATTTTTTCAGAAATAAAAGTTTTAAATGAGATATTCATATTAACAGATTAAATCACAAATAATTATGTATAATATGCTCTGAAACATTATTATTAATATTTCAGGTAAGAGGTATCCTAAAAACTCTATATTCATCAATATGGTATACAACTATTTCAATTCCTCATTCTTTTACAATCTAAACTCATATATTTCTAACTTAATGAGTGTTATTTTTAAAATGTGGTTTCAGTAATACCAAACACAGAACGTACTTGAGTCTTTCAAAACTATACACAAAATTTAAAAATGTATTCTTTCATGCATTTATTCAATCAATACATATTGAGGGGCTTCACTGTATGTGTCTAGCACTCTTTAGATGGATACTTTCTTATCCCTCCTTTGAGTCCCCGTAACAGGTAGCAAAATGTAAAGAACAAACTCACAAAAAAAACAGGTGTAACTTGGACACTTGGGGACTAATTAATATAAACAAGTCATTTAAACAAACTTTCAGCATCACCCTTTATATAAAGAGGGTAGAACAAATGGACTCTCAGCACTTGGCATTTCTAAAATTTTATCAGTCATTGCAGCCAGTATATAGATGTCTGCTAATTTAATCCAGTTATAATTACCTTCATATTGGGAACATGTACCACATCCCCATACTGGTCTTTTGTTTGAACAGTTATGGTGGTAGGCCAACCACAACGAATATCATCCTTATTCAGGATCAAAGATGTTTTCTGAGGATCCGCATATGAATCTGGCTGAAGCCACCTAACAGTAATGAAAAACAAATAAACAAAACCCCAAACACTGATCAGCATCTTCAACAATTAATATAAAATTAAGCCAAATGAACAAAACTTGTATCAAACAAAATGCTAAAACATTATCTTCATTTCCAACTCAGTGATAATCATGAGTGTCTCCCTCAGAAACTGTTAAGGACAAATTCATTTAAAAAACATGCCTAAGCACAGGAGATTTCTGATATTTAAATACAGTATAAAAATACTTTTTAAAACCAGGAAACTTGAAATTTTAACTATGGCTAATTTAAAATCACCAAGAACACGAATGTAGGTTGTGCATAATTTGAAGTCCTGAGCAGGCTCATTCTCTCTGAAGGAGCTCCACCTTACTCTGCCATCCTGCAAGCCTGGAAAAAGCAGTGTCTCTGTAAAAGCAGGGGTAGAAATGGCCCTCTACTTGCCTGACAGCAGCCAGGTTCAAGGTGTACTGCCCATCTTTTTTTCACAGTTTCTCAACTATCTTCCTCATTACCTTGCTTTCCACCTAAAATGCATCAATGTTGTGTAATTTGTGATGTTCATTCCTGAATTCATTCTGTGATCTACACATTCAAGTTGTCCTGTGAGCTGAGTAATAAGTAATTCTACCATGCATTACATAAAAACGTCTGCATAGTATAGTAGTGAGGCTGACTTAAGTGATTTGACATTCCTCTCCAATCACTATTTTGTGATTTTTAAAAACTAAAGAGTAATCTCTGCAATTTTAAAATTAAAACCAGAAAAAAGTTGGGATTTTTTTTTTACTAGTAAAATCATGCAGGCCAGCATATTTTTTTCCCTTTTCATCCTAAAAACAAAAAGCAACAAAAATAATCAATTAACAACTATAATAAATTTAATTTAATTAGTTAATTTTTTTTTGAGATAGGGTCTTGCTCTGTTGCCCAAGCTGGTTGCAGTGGCACAATCACAGCAACCTCCGCCTCTAGGGTTTGAGCAATCCTCCCACCTCAGCCTCCAAGAAGCTGGGACTACAGGTGTGTGCCACCATGCTTGGCTAATTTTTGTATTTTTTGCAGAGACAGGGTTTCACCATGGATTGCACTGGCACAATCAAAGCAACCTCTGCCTCCAGGGTTTGAGCAATCCTTCCACCTCAGCCTCCAAGTAGCTGGGACTACAGGAGTGTGCCACCATGCCTGGCTAATTTTTGTATTTTTTGTAGACACAGGATTTCACCATGTTGGCCAGACTTGTCTTCAACTCCTATGCTCTAGCAATCCACTTACCTCAGCCTCCTAAAGTGCTGGGATTACAGGCATGAGCCATTGCACCTGGTCTTATCATATACTATCATAACTATTCCAGCCTGGGCAACATGGGGAAACTCTGTTTCTACAAAAAATACAAAAAAGAAAAATAGCCGGGTGTGGTGGCATATCTGTAATCCCAGCTACCTGGGAGGCTGAGGCACAAGAATCGCTTGAGTCCAGGAAGTGGAGGTTGCAGTGAGCTGAGATCATGCCACTGCACTCCAGCCTGGGCAACACAGTGAGACCCTCTCTCTCAAAAACAAACAAACAAACAACCGCCAAACAAAAATATTAACTATCATTTTATATTTCAGCAAGTTAAACATACATAAACCAGACTTTTTTAAAGTAGTATTTTAATATTCTAATGACTCCCCTCTTTCAGAAATGAAGAAAGATGAAAGCCCTAAAATAAAGTAAGTAACTTAAAGTACATTTACCTTGCAAGCCTTCCACCACTTGATCCTGGGACACAGGCAATAAAATCATCCAGAAAAGACTGTTCATTGCTTTGGATTTGGAGTGGTAAATTTCCCTCAAGTGCTTCTAATATAGTTGGTGAATGAGAAAGAGCTAGACCCTTTCCAAGAATTCCAGAATGGGTTTTGCACACCTGTTAAGTAAAAAAGAATATTTATATATTCTTAAAAATAAAACTTTAATTACATAAAATTTTTCAACATGCAGATACTTTCAGATAGGCCTTTACGGAGAAATCATTTTCTCCACGTACCCCACTGTTCCTTCTTTTAACCCACAGAATAGGAAATTCCTAGGAGAGAAAAATATGAGACAATATTTCCAGTCTCTTTCCTCCCTCAAAAATAAATGCCTTGTCAGAGATCTGCATGCTGGATAAAATGGTGTATCTCCTTCCATGCCAGTCCTCTATATGTTATGTCCTCATTTTTCAGGGCCAGAGCTCCCTTCTGTCAGCAACTGTGGATGTCTCCCCCTTTTTTCTTTTTGAGACAGGGCCTTACTCTGCCACCCAGGAGTACAGTGGTGCCATCATAGCTCATTGTAGCCTCAACCTCCTGGGCTCAAGCGATCCTTCTGCCTCAGCCTCCCAAGTAGCTGGGACTTACAGGCGTATGCCACCATGGCTGGCTAATTTTTTTTAAAACTTTTTGTAGAGATGGGGTCTTGCTATGTTGCCCAGGCTGGTCTTGAACTCCTGGCCTCAAGTAATCCTCCCACCTTGCCCTATCAAAATGCTGGGATTATAAGCCTGAGCCACTGCATCCGGCTTCCCTCTTTTTCAGTCCCCCTTACAGGCAGCTATCATGAGTAAGGTGTGTCTGTTCTCTTGGGTGGGTGGGCACCAAGGTCTTGACTTGGGTAAAAAGTGGGTGGAAGCCTGATTGTGGCAGCACACACATCTCATTAGCCTGCCTAAGCCTTACTAAAGTTAAGAAGAAGAGGCAGATAAAACAAATTTTAGGTTTCACCTATCTGACAAGCAAGTCTTATGTTTTTGGAGAGACTTGTTTTAAATGCTGGAACTCTGAAAACTTTTTACTGACTATAAAATAAATTCCAGTAAGATTTTTTCATAGAAAATAATTACATTTCTAGTACTATCAAATTTGAAATTATACAGTTTCAAAAATAATCATCTTTGGAATCAAATAGACTTAAATTCAAATCCTGGCTTTGGACAAATTATTTGCTGTGTGCTCTTAAGCTAAAAAGTTACCATCCCTGAATCTGTAAAATGTATAAACTGGTCATCAAATAATCTCTCTTACACAGTTAAAAAATTCAAACTAAATAATGCATATAAAGTATATAATACATTGCCTAACAAATAGTAAGTGTTTAATACATGTTAGATTATCAGAATAACTACCTTACATGCCAAAAAGAGGCAATTTGGGACACCATTTTTTTTTTTCTTGAACAATAACATAATAAAGATCTCTCCATATCTGGTCTAGATGACACCTTATATACCATAATAATCCCTGAAATTATAAACCATATATGAACTCTGATATGGTTTGGCTCTGTGTCCCCACCCAAATCTCAACTCGAATTATAAATCTCCACATGTTGGGGGAGTGACCTGGCGGGAGGTGACTGAATCATGGGGGCAGACTTCCCCCTTGCTGTTTTCCTTACAATATCTGGTTGTTTGATAAGTGTGTAGGCCTTTCCCCTTCTCTCTCTCCTGCTGCCATGTAAGACTTGCCTTGCTTCCCTTTTGCCTTCTGCCATGATTGTAAGTTTCCTGAGGCCTCCTCAGCCATGTAGGGAACTGTGAGTCAATTAAACCTCTTTTCTTTATAAATTACCCAGCCTCAGGTAGTTCTTTATAGCAGTGTGAAAATGGACTAATAGAAACTCTTTGATAGTTCTCCTTCACCTAGAATGTTGCCTGACACATATTGTTTATTATATATCTGTTGAATTTATTTTTATTTTGAATCTTAAGGTACAAAGATTTAACTTTAAAAAAGGAATACACATAAGATGCCAATGGCTTTTTAAAACTCAGACGTTTCTTAACATTATTGACAACACTACAGCTCCCTATGATCAGAAGACAGTGTTCAAAATCACAAACTTTTTTTTTTTTTTTTTTGAGACGGCGTTTCACTCTTGTTGCCTGGGCTGGAGTACAATGGCATGATCTTGGCTCACCTCAACCTCCGACTCCCGGGTTCAAGCGATTCTCCTGCCTCAGCCTCCTGAGTAGCTGGGATTACAGGCATGCGCCACCACGCCCAGCTAATGAGACGGGGTTTCTTTTGTCACCAAACTGCCAGCGAACAAATCCCAGTGCAGTTGCTCACTAGCTGTATGATCGTGGGCGAACTGCCTAAATGCTCTATGCCTCATTTGTAAATGGAGATAAAACTTTTTAATTCATTGGGTTGCTGTGGGGAGTTAAAAATGCACAAAATGTTTAAAATAGTGCTTGACAAAGATGAAATAAATGTTTTCATTATTACCGCTTTGATTAATTCACCTCAGGAAATAAGTAAAATGTAAAGCACTAGCCTTCACAATTACAAGGTCTGGGTACCAGCCTTTGTTTCCCTTCTGAGTCTTCAAGAAGTCACAAAACTTCTTTGAACTTCAGTTATTATAATTGTAAGATGCAAGACCTAATACTGATTTCGAAGTGTAATTATAAAAACAGAGAGATAATATTAAAGATGCTGAAACCTATGAAGTGCTCTACAGATATTATTTAAATCACTATTACTAACTACATATACCTAGTATAGAAAATAAGTATGATCTAAATTGGTGTTTTCCAAATGTGGGCCCAAAGTTCTCTGATCCATGGCAGAATTAGAAAAACTAAGGCTATAACAGAGTCTTCCATTCTAAGACCTTTCCATCTGGGGCTATTAAAATGTCTTTTATTTTATAAGACATTGCTGATAAAAAGTAGTACATTTTTAAAGAGTGTTTTTACTTAATAAGTTCTCAGGAAAAATATTTTTGGAAAATTTTACAAATCTATCACATCCTAGGGTCTGAGTAACACTGATCCAGTTGAGAGACTCTCAACTTTTCTTCTATCTTCACACCATTGCTAGATGCAAAATTTTCCCCATCACTGATGTTCTCAGTGTGTGGTATCCAATGGGGCTCACTTAGCAGTACATCAGAAACTCTGGTTTGGCCTAAGTAGGTATTACAATTTGACAAATGCTGTCTACAGATTCTGATATTTCCATCCTATTACAGATTACTAGCTAGCTGAAGTCAGACTAATGAAGTAAGAAAACAATGTAGTCATCTCTAGGCAATTTTGAGAAATATTAGGTTGACGTAACAGATCCAAAGGGGGTATTGCACTGAAATATAGTACTCATGTATTTCCATTCAGTGCCAAATGTGCTAGTTAATGCCTAAACGAGCAAAAAAGGTAAAGCAAACAATAATAAAAACAACAAATGATGGCTCCCAATTGTCTACAGGCAACTAGCCCTAACCACTTAATATGACATACTGGTTTGTCACAGACTGAGCTCACCAACTGTACCAACCTCACCTTTTGCTGCTTCTTATAACACAACTATACATCCTTTGTGAAATGTCTTTCCCCTTTCTCTAGCAGGCAAAAAAAGAAAAACAAATTCTTTCAAGATGCAATTTAAATGGCCACAGTTCTGCAAGCCATCCTCCGCACCCTTGGCACTTGATTTGTTTTTTTCTCCCGAAGGATTTTTGTCTAACTCCAGAGTCAATTACCCACCAAATACATAGGGCTCACATGGGTTTCTCCCACCAAAGGGAGCAATGATAAGTTATTTATCTCTATAATGCCAATGAATAAAGTGAAGTACTTAATGAATGAACCCAATGGTCAAGACAAATAGGCTGATCTGAGTGACAATACTTTTTAAATTAATGTACAAAGTTTATCCTTAAAACATTTGGGACAATACCTGCAATGCAGCCTCCTCAAGAATTTCAAGGTCTTCTTCTAATTCATTACCTGTTGTGTAAATAAAGAGTTTTACTAAAATATGTCAATATTTAGTTTAGTTTAATTTTCTAGTCCTTTGCATTCATTACACTTTTTTTAAAAAAATAATTCTGCTATTCCAGATTGAAAAGATTTGTGATTCTGGAAAAAATCCTAGTGGCATACAGTTTAATATATAAGATACTTCCAGTGGGAATATACTACAATTCTCAAGGCAATACTCAAGAAGCATCCATGGGTGATTTGCCAAAGATATATCCTACATTTATGAATATAAATGTATACTTTCTGAACTTAGTGTATTCGTTTTGTCTAAAAAAAGAGGGAACAAATTATTTCAGATCTGGGCCTTTATATTTTGGTTGCCTTACAGAAGAGCTATGACTTTAGTAAACAACAGGGACTCACAGAAAAATATAAGGCAGTGACTGCATCCCCTAGCCATTTTCTCCTTTATTAGTTAATATAGAACATATTTTATTTATTGATCTTTCTTTGATAGTTTAATTATTAAATGTTACTAATAAAGTAATACTTGTTCAATGGGAAATACTCAAATTGTATAGGAGTGTAGAACAAAAAATTCTAAACCTCTAACCAGTGCCGTGCTCCCTTAAAACTATCCAGTGTCAACAGCCTATGTGTTGTTCTAGAAACTTGGTGTGCAAACAAACCAAAAAGGTATATGTGTTTCAACCACACATAAACATACTCTTTTTTTTTCTTTTGAGATGGAGTCTCACTCTGTTGCCCAGGCTGGAGTGCAGTGGTGCGATCTCGGCTCACTGCAACCTCCACCTCATGGGTTTAAGTGATTCTCCTGCCCCAGCCTCCCGAGTAGCTGGGACTACAGGCATGTGCCACCATGCCCGGCTAATTTTTGTATTTTTAGTAGAGACGGGGTTTCACTGTGTTAGCCAGGATGGTCTCAATTTCCTGACCTTGTGATCCACCCACCTTGGCCTCACAAAGTGCTGGGATTACAGGCATGATCATACTTTTTTGTAATATACAGAGTAATGTATGCAAAAATGGGACCTTCTTCTGCAACTTGCTTTTCTCAATATAATTTGGACAGCTTTCCTTGTTAGGCTGTATAGGTCTACTTTTTCAAAGAGCTGCATATACTACCATTGAATGGCTATGCCATTACTTATTTAACCAGTTCCCAACTGAAAGACATTTTGGTTGTTTCTAGGTTTTACAATCACAAGCACTGCTATATTAATCCACCCTTCAACATACACTTTTTGAGTATTTGTGCAAGTATGTATAAAAATTTTCTATGTCAAAAAGTATATATAATGTAAAATTTAACAGCTATTGACAAAAATAGGTTGCTAGCAATTTTCCTCATGTGGCTAGAATACAAGGTCTCATTTCCATACATATATACCAATATTAAGTGGGAGAAAAGGGATGGAGAAGAATAAAAGGGACCAGGAAGAGAAAAGGGAATAAAGAAGGAAAGGCAGAGGAAGAAAAGGGAGGAAAAAAATAACAGTGGGAAGAGTAATCTTCAATGAAGGAGTAAAGATGGATTTTGGGGGGGTAAGAAAATAAAACTTTAAACCATGTATAAATATTAGAGAATCAGTAAGCATTTTTACTTTCAACTTTACTCCCTTGATTATAGATTAATCTATATATCATACAAATTTGCTCCATATAAAAAAGTACCATTTCTGCCACTGCCTCATCTCTGTTCTGCTTCAATGAAAAATTCTTCTAAAGAGCTACCTATATTCAAATGGACCGCCCTTCCTTACTTTCCATTCTCCCTCTCTACTCTGAAAGTACTTACAGTTCTCTCATTTTGCTAACATATTTCTTATTGCATATACAAGCAACCAACAAGTCTTCAAGTCCAATGATAGATTTTAATTCACTTCTCAGAGCATGCAAAAATCCCAGGAGCATCCCCTCTCCTGGTTTCTCTCCTCTTCACTGACTGTTCCTTCACAGTCTCATCTGCAGCCTCCTCTTCCTGTTCTGTGCATCTTTGAAATTTTGATAAGTCACAGCTTTAATCCTAAGCTATCTTCTCTTTCTTATCTACTTGCTGTAGAATATCTTTCATACAGTCCCATGTCTTTAAATAACGATCATATTCAATTACATTTCTATCGACCTGTTCTCTGATCTAGACAATGAGTATTCAGTTGTCTACTTGATATTTCCACTAGAATATTTAAGAAATATCTAGAACTTTTGGTTTAATACTATATATTCAGTGCTTGGCTGAATATACACACTATACCCACTGCCTGGCTCAAAGCATGTATATGCATAAAAAGGGTGTCCATGTGCGTGTGTAAATTAAAAAAGGTCAGAGGATACCCTTCAGTCTCTAAACAAACTCAAATTACCAGTACATGAAGCAGTTATTGCTCATGAATATATGAGATTACAAAATTCATTTTGCAAATCTATTTTTGGCCCTTTTATAATACATACAAAACAAAACAAAACCCTATCAAAAAACATCCAGTATTGGCCACACTTACCAATAGGAAGTGCTAGGTCCTTCTTCATCAGAGCTGCTGCACAAACCCCACCAAGATTGGCTAATTCTTTTTCCAATTGGATGACTCCCTATGGAATTGCATAAAATTTGCTGCTTTAAAAATGTTTGAATGATAATACGGATTATCAACAAAATGTGATTTGAATTCAAGCATTACTTTTGAAATGAGAAGGAAGCACGTGAAGCTAATGGTTAAATTGAGAGTAGATGAGATTCAGTACTCAATGTTGTGGCTCAGGCTGGTTATAAGGTTCAGGTTTAAAGGTTCATTGTTCAAATAACTGTTCATTCATGACTTTGGCCCACTTTGTCCTTGGTTTTATCTTATTGTATGATTTAAAACATTTAGACAAGATGATAGCCCCTTTTTGAAAACAGGTTCTACTGTTTACTCAGAAAGGTATAGCCAACTGAGCAGGTTCAGGGCAGGTATAACTATACTTCAAAGGCTGGGTCATGTTGCACAAACTCCATCCTCTTCATGTATTAAAAGTAGCAAAACAGACCACTGCACATAAACTACAAAAATTTAGAATTGCACACCCCTAGGTTAAAATTAATTTCTTTTTATTTTTTTTGTAGAGAAAGGATTTCGATATATTGCCTAGGCTGGTCTCAAACTGTCTCAAGGGATTCTCTCACCTCTCAAAGTGCTGCAATTACAGGTGTGAGCCACTGCACCAGGCCCCAATTTTTCGAATAGAGGCAACAGTACAATTTAAGTCAGTTAGAAGCACAACTCACTAGCCCTTAGAAACACAATCTTCCTTAAAAGAATGAAAAGATAATTCATTCTTACCTCATCAGGTCCAGGGCTAAATTCATATCCAATTGCAAAACACTTAAAACCATAGAAAGAAGCTTTGTCATCTTTCACATAATCTGATGCAGTCTCCAATGAAAAAAGGGCCTCATTTCCTAATAAAAATGCCAGAATTGAGTTCAAACTCTAAAACAATTTTATAAAAATTTCCCTGTCTTTTATCCAATGGACTTTCTCTTTTATCACAAGATAGGTAAAAACACAAATCATATACTACATAACTTAAATAGACTTGCGGCGGGGAGCGTTCCTATATCTACTTGAGGAAACTGTACCAAAAATAACACTAGAAACAACAGGTCTATCGCAAATGAATTGTTACTTTTTTTCATAATCAAACTCCCCTGCTTAATAAAGTACTTCAGTTACATGGGCAATCATTTTTCAATTATTTGTCAAATACTGAGGTTAGCCTTTTTATTTTTCAAAGTGGGCAATCCTCTACCCTGGAGTGTGGCTTTTTCTGATCTTTTCCCAAACAAACAAACAAATAGGCAGGTCAGAGTGGAAAGAAGAAGTTTCTGAAATGAAATTGCCTATTAGTTTGAAGGATCACAAGAGTAGTCCTGGTTAACTGGTTAAGAATGCAACAAACCATAAGTTTTAAAACATAGTTTCTCTTCACACAAGAAAGTGGTTTACGAATTCTCTTACAATGAAGGACTTCAGTCCTTAGGTAAGTTCTGAAAATTTAGCACTTCCTGGGAAAATAAAAGATCTAATCCATTGTTTTCTATAATTTGGACCCAACTACACAGACAGCTAGCTACTCCTCAACGTTAACACTCTGCTTTGCTCAAGCTAATCTTTTTTTCACAAAATCCTTAAAACATTGTCTTCTCCAAAACTCAGATCAGGCTGTGCCCCTTGCCCAGGGTACCTTATTTATTCCTCGAATGCAATCCAGATACATAGTAGGTCTTTAATAAATTTCTCTAAAAATTAGATAAACATTTTCAATGATACACCCTTACTAAATATACATAAATGCACTTATTTTACCACATAAAACAGAAGAAAAAAAAAACTTACCTGGCAACACCAAAACCATAGTAGGCCACCCAGAGGATCCTGAAAATTTCTTTAATTCTATCCATGAATTAAGATTTTCATGAACAGATGTCAATTTTGGTCCATATCCTGAATTCTGAACAGTTCTGACAGGAATCAACAAACGAAGGACATCTTCTGACTGTGCAGTACCACACTGAGGGTCAAATTCGATTGTCATCCACCTCACACATTCTGGGAATGTCACCTGAGGTCAACAGGCAAAGTGACATGAATACAGATATATATATACACAAACATACACATCTGCATCTGTATGTGTGTGTGTGTCTATGCTTTTATTAAATGACACAACAGGATAAAGTACAAAATTAAAATAGAATAAAATGTTACCTATGACAGAGAAGGAGGAACAGAGTAAAGAGGACAGAGATAAAAGCTAGATTTGTTTCATAAATTTGACTTCAAAGTATGTAATTATGTAAAGAATTATAAAACAAAATCCAAATTTAAAAAGCAATTCCTAAAATCTAAGATAAAATAAATGACTCTCTAAGTGTATATCCAATGAATGCATAATCATGCAGAGGGAGCATTCCAACTTACTTTAAACACAGTAATTTGACATACACTTAGATGGGATATACTTCAAAGACAAAACACACACATACACACACACACACACACACACACACACACACACACACACACACACACACCAAATGAAATAATTTAATGATTTTCTAATTCTGATATTCCCAGTGTCACTAATAGGAATTTTAGATATAAGAGAAAGGAGACTGAGGTGTGTCTGTGGTCCTTGTTTGAATTAGTATCAACAGTATAAACTCATGAGGTATTTTATCTTTAAAAAACTATACACATAAATCTATCTGTACATAAACATATATACATTTATGTATATACATATATAAATATAACATGTGTGTGTATGTATAACAGAAATCAGGACACTTTGAAAAAATGGTTAGTTCCAAGTCTGAGGCATCAAACATATAAAGGGAGCCTGGAACATCTTATCCTACCAGAAAGCAAGGAAGCTAGGAATGACTGCAAGAGGGGTGTCTGAAAGAACCAGCAGGTAAGCTGAAGAGGCTCCCATCTAACAAATACATAGGATCCAGTTTCTTCAACAAATAGAACTCAAGGGAACAAAAAGAGAGAGAGACAGAGGGAGACTTATAGATTTAAAGGGACTTAAGATTAAAGGGGACTTAAGAGACATACTAATCACAATATATGGATTTTATATGGATTCTAACTCAAATTATTAAAAATTTACATGATGTTTGCAGACATTAAATTGTTTTCTTCAATGTGATAATACTATGGTTATATTTAAGGGTCTTTATATTTTGGAGACATTGTATCAATAAATATCATAAATGTGCTTTAAAACAATATAGGAGGTTAGGAAGTAGGTTGGGAATAAATAAGACAGGTCTGACTAACAGTTGAAACTGCTGAATCTGGGATGATGGATAAACAAGTGCACTGTACTAGCTTGTTTACTTCTATATGCTTAATAGTTTCTACCATGAAAAGTGGAATATTTTACAAGCACACAAAATACAAGTTTATCCTTCTCTTCCTTAATTTGCATGATACAATGAAAAAACAAAGAATACGGATTTTGAATACTCTCTAATAACATTAAATTTATAAACATTTTATACATAGTTTTTTTAACATTATGTATAGACTACTTTAAATCTTACATTGGGGTTGTAAATTTTCAGAGCTCAGGCTGTGGTACAAATAATGTTAGTTCAAAAAATACAATTTAAAATTGTTAATGCTTATATCTACTACTATTGCAAATCACAGCATGAAGTTTAGCATTATATACCACACTATACTTGTAGGAAGATTTAAGAACAACTCTCATAAACCAATAAAATTTTATCATCTTTGAGATAAAAATTCCATCTTAAATTATTTTATATATCCAACAGTGCCTAATCACCTGCTGATTCTCTATATGTAAATACTATAAAAGAAAATACACTTGTAAATACAGGCCAGGCATTCTTTAAGATATCATCAGAGAACCTCATGCCAAGTTTTACATTCGAATCACACTAAGAACCGGTGCCTACCTTGTAATGCATCACACAGGCAGGTTTATACGGGTGCTCACTCTCTATGACAGCATAGTGACTGGAGGTTGTACAAGCAGAGAGGCCCTGTTCAGGCTGGTTTCCTGTGGTGCTATCTGTCGACTGATTAGGGTTGAAGGCAGGCGGTGCATACTTCTGATTCAAAATGGCAACTGACGGAAGCAATTGTTGGACAAGGCCAAAGACTTCTACAGCCACCTAGTACACATATAAAAATATGGTTAAATGAGATACACGTGAAAGTGGTTCTAAAATTATGCATTACAATAATTGTTGGTTACTCTAATAACAATTTCCATCTAAATTTTCCACTAGTTAAGTTTTTGTCCAAAGAGAAATCTTTCAATTGATTAAAAAAAGATTTATCTTAGATGTTACATGACAATATCTAAATCTATATTTTTAAAAACTTGTTTTTTCATGATCTGAAGTAAATCAGGTTTTACTTAATTATGCCAAAGAATCAATAGTTTATCATTTCTTCCATCTCTTGAATATGTCACTATTTTAAAACACTCTTATCCTTTAACATTGCTATTGTTATTAATGAAGACCATTTGGCATCAACCTCATAAATGTGAAAAACCTCAGTTAACATAATCTTTCCTTACATATCATATTCCTAAAATTGCTAAAATCTATTTCCCATTCACAGATTCTTCAAATGTAAAGCCAACAGGCCGGGCGCGGTGGCTCACGCCTGTAATCCCAGCACTTTGGGAGGGCGAGGCGGGCGGATCACGAGGTCAGGAGATCGAGACCACGGTGAAACCCCGTCTCTACTAAAAATACAAAAAATTAGCCGGGCGCAGTGGCGGGCGCCTGTAGTCCCAGCAACTCGGGAGGCTGAGGCAGGAGAATGGCGTGAACCCGGAAGGCGGAGCTTGCAGTGAGCGGAGATCGCGCCACAGCACTCCCGCCTGGGTGACAGAACAAGACTCCGTCTCAAAAAAAAAAAAAAAAAAAAAGCCAACAAATAAGCACAGCAATCCAGTAAACAATACTAAGAAGAGAGAAGTTTAATAATTAGCAGATCTATCTCTGCTTGTTACCTATATCCCAGATGCCTCAAAGATGCAAGTTTTTGTAAAGACAAGACACAAAGTCTTTTTTTAAAAAAGATATTTAAAAAAAACATTCAAAGTTATAGAATTAAATTACACACCTTGGGAATAGCAGCAGCTACTGGTCCTATGTAGGCTATAATAAGGGGGAGCAGCATGGAAAACAGACTGGAAGAACTCAGCAGTTCTGGAATGTCATCAGCTAAAAAAAGGCATAAAAGGCATTAAAACTATAGTCAGAAGGTAATTTCATTGTACTGCATACATGCTGTACTAAATCTATATTCTGCTCTTTTGAGCGAAACTATAGTTGACACCAATTGGGTGCTTGTCAAGGGCCTGGTACTATTCTAAAGGCTTTTGAGAATACATGCCTTATCTCAACTAATACTCACAATAAGATACTTTTATTATCCCCAATTTTCAGAAAGGAAAACCATGGCACATAGGGTTTAAGTATCTTACCCAAAATACTTAATACATAAGTACATGTACCTGTAAAATAATAGAGCTGGAATCAGAACCTAGGGTAATGGAGTCTTTATTTTAAATTACCATTCTGGCACCAAACATGGCTGTATCAGTGACATTAGGCAAATTACTTACTCTGTAACTTAGGTTCACAACAGTATTCCTCTCATTTGGATGTTGGGAAGATTAAACGAGGTAATATATGTAAAACACTTAGAACAACACCTACACATATTCAGCACTCCAAAAATGTTTACTGTTATTAAGCTACATTGCTTTCTGTTTTTCCAAGAAAAGCACTTTGCTGATTAACATTTTAGTCAGTTATCCATGAACATGGTGCTGGAAAGATAAGCTGAGCCTATACTGTGAAGACCTTTATTTTATAAGCCAATTATTCTCCCAAATACTGATTCCTAGGTCTGCTGTTATATCAAAACAGGCTGCACACTTATTTAAAAAATAGTTTTTTAGCCTAGCTTCAGGACCTGGGGATAAATCTAATAGTCTTTATTTTCAGCAAGCTTTCCAGGTGGTTCTGATGTTAAACTAGGTTTAGGAATTAATGTTATACAATAAGGAGGTGGAGGTAACTTTTTTTTTTTTTTTTTGAGATGGAGTGTCACTCTGACATCCAGGCTGGAGTGCAGTGGTGCGATCTCGGCTCACTGCAGCCTCCGCCTCCTGGGTTCAAGCGATTCTCCTGCCTCAGCCTTCTGAGTAGCTAGGATTACAGGCACCTGCCACCACGCCTGGCTAATTTTTTTATTTTTAGTAGAGATGGGCTTTCACCATGTTGCTCAGGCTCGTCTCAAACTCCTGACCTCATGATCTGCCTTCCTCGGCCTCCCAAAGTGCTGGGATTACAGGCATGAGCCACCATGTCCGGCCATAACCATGTTTTCATAATGATAACTCTGCTGCCAGTGTGAAGAATAACTAAACAACTAGATGGAGAATGGGGGAAAGGCAGCAGTGAGATTATCGGGATATTAACCCTATATTAAAAAATGAAATGTACTTGCACCATGGCAGTCTAAATGACAGCAGGAGAAGAAGTGAAAGAGAGGAGAATACAAACTAGAGAGATTCCAATGGAAAAACTCATAGAGCTGAATTTAGACAAGTGCCTCTGAGGAGATGGTTAGGGTACCCCAGAGTTTTGGGTGGATAGCGATACATTACTGGAAAAAGAACAGAGAGGAAGAAAAAGCTTTTTGATTACTAAAAGAAGAATAAAGACCCAGTTTAACTCAAATACAATTTTTCTTTTACTAAATTAACTAAGAAAATAAGAATATATGGTAACTCCTTTTGAGCATTCTAAATAATTCTGCATTACAGTATGGAGAGTGTGACCTATCCAAAATTAATCCATGGGTGGATCTATAAATAACACTTAGATTCTATAAAATTGTATAATAGAAGGCTCCTCTTCAATAATTCTATGCAAAAATTTAGTGAATAAAGAATCTAAAATATGACTACTGAGAAAGAAAAAATATTACCATCCACAGCAAGAGCTCTGTGCAGGAGGTCCTTAGAGGCTCGAACGACAGTGCTTACAACAGACAATGCTCTGCTACAGTTTTTATCTTCTTCATTGGCTTTACTCAGAAGTTGGGATTGTAAATCTCCATCAAATTCACTCCTGTAGCATGAGCAAACATGAGATTATTTTACAATGGTAAGTAAAACATGATCCAGTGCCAGAAATCATATCTAGATCTGAGATCCTCATTTAATTTATAGCTTTTTAAAAGTTAAAAAAGTAAACATGCAACTATACAATAATAGGGAATGATAAGGGCTTTGAAGAAAAACAAAGCAGCATAGGGCATAAAGTGAAGGGTGTTATTTTAAATAAGATCAGTTCTCCGAGGAACTCATATTTAACAAAGACCTGAATTAATTAATTAAATTATTTACTTATTTGAGACAGAGTCTTGCTCTGTCGCCCAGGCTGGAGTGCAGTGGCATGATCTCGGCTCACTGCAACCTCCGCCTCCCAGGTTCAAGCGATTCTCCTCCCTCGGCCTCCCAAATAGCTGGGATTATAGGCATGCACCACCACGCCCAGCTAATTTTTCTGTTTTTAGTAGAGATGGGGTTTCACCACGTTGGCCAGGCTGGTCTCAAACTCCTGACCTCGTGATCCACCCATCTTGGACTCCCAAAGTGCTGGGATTATAGGAGTGAGCCGCGCACCCAGCTGACCTGAATTTTTTTTTTTTTTTAAAGACCCACGCGAAGAGCTGAGGGAAAACTGTCAGGGCAAAAGGAACATACTGGTGAATTAAAGGAACAGAATGAAGACATGTATGGCTGGAAGAAAAGGAGAAAGAGTGAAGCGTGATGGGTGGGAAGGGAAACAAGAGTCAAATTGTGTAAGGTTTGTAGGCCACATAATGACTTTACATTTTATACTGGTATGAGAATGGGAAGCTGGGTTTGGAGCAAGGGTGGAACTTGGTATGATTTATATTTTTATCAGATCACTCTGGCTGTGCTGTAGAGAACTGATTGTAGGAGACCAATAGTGAAAGGAGGGAGACTAGTTTAGAGGCTTATTACAGTTAGCAGGTAGAGGTTGCAGTGGCTTGGTCTAGACTATTAAATATGGAAGTAGAAGAAAAGGTCACATTTAGGACATTTTAGAAGTACAGCTGACAGGACTTCTTGATGAACTAGGTGTAAAGTATGAGGGAAAGAGAAGTCCAGAATGACTCCAAGGTGTCTGGCTGTAACTGTGGAAGGGAGATGAATATTCTAGCCACATGAAACCTCAGATGTCTACTAGCCAACTATAACGAACATCCTTAAAGAGAAAGTGCAGCATTCTGGTTAAGGGTGTATCACCTGAAATCTGACTTCCTGCCTACAAGTCGCAGTAGCGTAACTTAACAGAGGTGTGACTCTAGACAATTCAGCGTCTCAGTTCCATCATCTGTGAAACAGGGATAAGGAAAGTACCTACCTCCTGGGGTTACTGTGAGGACAAGGTGAAATAACACAGGTAACATACTCAAAGCATGTCCTGGCACACAGTAACTAACACCATCTCCACTAGTGTCATCCAAATGAAGATGTCAGAAGAGAGACCCGGAGTCCAGGGCTCAGAGGTCATGAAGGCTAGGGATGTAAACTTGGGAGCTATCAGAGCAGGATGGTATTTAAAACTAAAGGACTTTAACATTTTTCATTTATAAAAAATGTAAAGCTAAGGGTATTTAAAGCTTAATAGAAAACATGAAAATACTCAAAACACTGTATTTTGTATAAGATATAAAGTTTGGATGGCAGATGCTCTTAGTGGCTCTCCAGCTTTCTGAAACACGTAACTCTTACGCATAACAGAGTTTTTAATCCATAGTTTAAGAAAGAGAATAATGTACTATTTATTGTAGTGCTTATGTAACAGAAAGCTTTTCTTGACTGGGGCAAAAGACTAGACAGCTTTTGTATTTCAGCAGCAACAATGAACTACATAGCTATTTGCTGCCTGCTATTTCTATTCTATTTCTGATGGAAAGAGGAAGCAGAAAATCTATATCTAGGGAAATTATTTTATACTATCTACGTAGGCACCATCCCTAGACTCTTCATGAAGGAAAGAGAGGAAGCAGCAAGCCTCTGAAAGTGACATGGAAATTCAGTGATTTAATGCCAAGTCAGGCTGAGGACAAATGTGGTAAATGGTACTCATGACTACCTAAGACGCCAGCTTTGCCGCTACAAGAAAAATTCAGACTCAGTGAGAAATGTTTATTTAAAAGATTTTTTTAACCCAAGGGTTGTTATCATTCTTTTATTTTCCAAGGTTTACATAAGGAATGGTTTTTGTTAAAAACATTATAAGAAACACACTATTATATATTCTAGGGCCCCAGGGGGCAGGTCCAAGATTCACAGACATCAAAATATTCTGTGACTAGATAACAAGATCAAGGCAACACCACTATCTGAGTACAGTCTATCTGATCATTAGTTTGAGGTATTTTATAAAAAGAAATGAATATCCTTTAAATTTGAAATTGCAGACCAGAAATTATAGAGTGACAGCAACAGCACATATGCCCAGTACACAAACATTTCAATGATATTGAAGAAATAACAGCAAAAATATTTTAAAGCATTAACTTTTGTAGCAAACATTGAATTTATATATTAAAAAGAGATTTCTTTATATGAATTTGTACAAGTATGTGCTAAGAAGATACACTGTACAATTTAATTATAAGTATCCAGTTAGCAATTTTACCTGGTAGTAGACTGTGTATGTTCTACCACTGTAAAGTATTTCCGTTATCTCTATACATTCACCCACCTATAGTAGAGTATCTGTGGGATCTGTCCTCTGGTTTGGTTTGTGCCGTTACTGCTCAAGCTGCACGTGCTGAATGTGAATGTCACACCATCAGGGCACTGAACTGTGGTCATTCCTCCATCTCCATTGGCTGTACGGCTTCCATAGTTCCTCAAGCGCACAGCATATTTAACATTTTCCTTCATTATAAAGATGTAAAACATCTTTTATTCACAATGTACAGAGGATATATAAAAAGAACTCTAGCAGTAAAATAGGCAAATATACTGAAATTCTTTGTCATATTTACAGATGATATAATTAAATAAGTTTTTAATGAATCAAACACGATGACGGCTAACATTTACTGAACACCTGTTGCATAAAAGCAACTGTCCTAACTACTTTATGGAATTTAATTAATCCTTAAAATGACCTCATAAGGTAAGTATCATTACTATCCCTATTTTACAGATGAGGAATCTGAGGTTCAGAGAAGTTAAGTAACTTGTTCAAAGTCACGCAGCTAGTAAGTGATGGAACTAGGTCTGAACACAACCAATGTAACTAGTGCCTGCTCTTAATTTTACTGCTAGAATATTAGCCATACTATATATATATAATATATATTATATATATATAATATATATATATTTTATATATTATATATATATATTTTTTTCTGAGACAGGATCTTGCTCTGTCACCCAGCCTGGAGTGCAGTGGTGCAATTTTGGTTCAATGTGGCCTCCTCTTCCTGGGCTCAAGCAATCCTCCCACCGGTGTGTTCCATCACACTCAGTTAATTTTTTAGGGTGTTTCTGTAGAGATAAGGTCTGACTATATTGCCCAGCCTAGCCTCAAACTCCCAAGCTCAAGTGATCCTCCCTCCCTGGTGTCTCAAAAGTACTGGAATTACAGGTGTGCGCTACTGTGCCCGGCAATAAGGGATTTTAATTGCATAAGCTGATACTTTTCCTTGACTAGTTTAACTTTTAAAATAATTTTAGATGTGAGGAAAAAAATGGTGAGTCTATTATATTTTTAAGAAAAACTCAGAGATAGAAATATATAGGCAAACAGACATGAGAAAAAAAACCCATAGGAAAAAAGCTGTCCAAAATATAATGCACTGTACTTTTAAAATGTGAGCTATAGAAACTAATGCTTTATGACCCATGATATAAATTTCACAATAAAAGCTTTTTGGTTTTTCAGTATCTAAATTCTTCCTGATGAAACCTCTCGTGTACCGATCTTATCCAAAATTCTGCTCTATAATGAAATTTATTTCAGTTGAATTCAGAAATACTTTAATTTTATTTTAACATCTATAATTACTTTGATGTGGTAAAATTTCTCTATTTTGCCAAATATTGTTAGGAAATAGGCTGGGCGCGGTGGCTCACGCTTGTAATCCCAGAACTTTGGGAGGCCAAGCGGAGTGGATCACTTGAGGGCAGGAGTTCGAGACCAGCCTGGTCAACACAGTGAAACCCCTCTACTAAAAATACAAAATTAGCTGGGCATAGTGGCACGTGGCTGTAATTCCAGCTACTCGGGAGGCTGACACAGGAGAATCATTTAAACCCGGGAGGCAGAGGTTGCAGTGAGCCAAGATCACACCACTGCACTCCAGCCTGGGCGACAGAGTGAGACTCCATCTAAAAAAAAATAATAATAATAATTAAAAAAAAATAAAGAAACAAAACAAAACAAAACAAAAACACTTTTTTTTTTTTTTAAATGAGTTAGGGCACAATAAGAGAAGAAAAGACAGGAGCTAATATTTATTTTTCATATTGTGCTAGACACTAAGGCAGGTGTTTTATTTCCATTATTTAATCTCAATACTACTACAATGCAGGTATTATTCTTCCCAATCTACAGATAAGTCTCAAAGTGGTTAAATAATGATCTGCCAGTGTCTTAAAGTCAGCATGTGGAACAGCAGGTATCCAAAGCTAAGTCTGTTTGACTACAAAACTTCCTACTACTCCTGACTTTAAGAAACATTATGCAAAAATATAATATAATGTGGTACAACATTAGGTACGTAGTAGGTACTCCATAAATATTTAAGTACCATATAAAGGATAACTTACAAATAGCTATAGGTAACAAACAAAATTCATGGAATACTCTTCACTATTTTAACTACATAATAATACCTCTTATTCACAATAGAAACATTCAGTTGAAACTACCTTTAAAGGAACCACTTTGTCAAGTCTGATCTCAGCTATATCACTGGGTGAGTCATCCGTTGTGTACGTTCCTTTCACTAATTCCAGAGATGTCCATCTGTGGGAATGAGTTGAATCTCCTGCATGTTCACTCTAAAAAAAAAAAATGAAACACAAAAATTCCAACAGACTCTTAATTTTATTGTATGAACAATTTTGATTTATAATTATTATTTTTAAAATTTATTTTCTTGAATATAAAATTAGCCATTAGTATTTTCCCATACATATGAAAGAAAAAGTTGGGGGTACTATATACATTTTTATGTGATTTCTTGAGAAGACTACAACATAAATAAGCTTTTCTCATCTGATGACTTAAACTATTTCTACTTCTTCACATTTATAAAGCCTAATGAAGTAGGGAATAAATTCAAATTAACTAGTGAAAGGAATCAAGTTAGAGATAGAGATAGACTTGCTATTTAATAGGCAATGATTTACATGCTACCCCATCTGTCCCATTTTAATAAAACTCAGGTACTTTAATTTTAGAGAATATAGAAAGATATAGCTCAATCAGTCAACAAATAGTGTCTTCACTAAGAATCACCCATTAGTACTCTATGACATAGTCCATCTCAACATTGTGTTTCTTGAAAAATGACAATATAAAAAAAAAAAAAAACTACTCAAGACTTGTCATCAGGGACTTAGCTAAACACTTTTAGTCTTTAATTCTACTTTAAATCTTTCTCTTTCTGAAAGTACAAAAAATATGAAGCAGTAGTGACCCAAGGTGGAAAGATGGAACACAAACAATCAGGTAAAATCATTATTTTTCAATTTCTTTTCTTTCTTTTTTTTTTTTTTTTTTTTGAGACAGGGTCGGGTCTCACTCTGCTGCCCAGGCTTGAGTGCAGTGGCATGATTATGGCTCACTGCAGCCTCAACCTCCCGGGCTCAAGTGATCCTCCCACCCCAGCCTCCAGAGTAGCTGGGATTACAGGCGTGCGTTGTATTTTTCGTAGAGATAGGGTTTTGCCATATTGCCTAGGCTGGCCTTGAACTCCTGTGCTCAAGTCATCCAACTGCCTCAGCCTCTCAAAGAGCTGAGATTACAGGTGTGAGCCACTGTGGCCAGTCTTTTTCAATTTCTTTAGTGTCATTCATCAGTGATTGATCTAGTAAACCCCTGAACATACTATGACAATGGTAAATCCTGATACACAACCCACTAATCAGGATAAATACTAAAAGGGTGATACTTACATCATCAACCAACACCTCTAATTCATATTCATGAATTCCACCTCCTCCATAGACAGAGAAACCAACCACAACTATTCCAGGTTTGTCTACTGAAAAACAGATTGCATCAGGGGACCCGTTCCCAGTGTTCCAACTTCTGCCCTGACTTGTTTTTGTAAATCGGTTAGCACTAGCTTTTACAGAGTGAAGAGAATTAAGTCCATCAACCTGTGAACAATAAAAGCAATTGTATCAGTAGTTGGTATACCTTTAACAAAACCATCCAAAGGTTTCTAAGAAGTCTAATAAAATAACCTTTATTTAATAAGTGGATATAAACATTCCTAAAGGTATGTTCTACTGAGAGATTAACTCACAATAAAACCAGATTTTATCATTCTAAATTCACAAATCAATGTCACTTGACAGTATTTTCTTCCTTTAGCCATATGAAACTATACTTTCCACTTAATTTATAATGTCAGAAGTACAAGCTTGTCTTATCAGTCATAATGTATGAATAAATCATCAGACTTTGAAAAGAGATGCTAAAAATTTCATCGAAATTCTATAGATCAACAGTTTTCAAACTATGCAACACAGAGCTCTAGAAATTCTGCAGAGATAGGTGTGCAAGGAAGAGGTAAATTTATGGTTCCCCTCTTCAACCAGACTATGTCCTCTCTCCTCTTACCTGTGAATTTGCAAGTAAAACTTCATTTGAAGAAAATGGTCTATACCCTAAGATTGAATACTACGAATATATACAGTGATATTTTTGTAACAGCATTCAGTATTTGAATACGTACACATACACATGTGCAACTATACTAATTATAGACTTTCACTAGAGAGAATTAGAGAACTTACTTTGGGTTGAAATCGCTCTTTTTATTTACAAAGCCTACTTCTAATCTAACTTGGCTACAGAATTTTGGGAGACTAAATAGATACAAAAATGGAAGTTTATGATTCTAACAAAAATTGCAAACTTCTCTGAGAAAGAAATATTCATCTCTAAGCCAGGACCTGTGGGAACTCCCAAAGTTGTATACCAGGCACCCTGTAACTTTTGGTATTCCTTTTCATTGGAAAGGTAAGTTTAAAGGGGAGAACTCTTTAGTAAACTTTGGAAGGGGATCTACACATTATAGACTTTCCTGCATCCTGCAGAGTATACTATCAAAGGAAGGTATTATAGACTAAATGAGTAAATGTAAAAAGTTAAAAAATTTCTGACAAGGGCTTCAATCGTCTCTGAGGCCAAACTCAAAGTTAACCAAGAAACTTAGAAAGTGCTTCCCAGGATGAGAGACTAAAATTAGCTCAAGTGTATGCGATGAACCATATGTATGCGAATTTCTTACGTATGAATTTCATACAATGAAATTCTAAAGGCTAAACTGTCACAATTAATCAATAATGTGTATATATTGGATGGGTTAATTCAGAATAGGTGTTAAAATAAATTTTTTAAAAAAAGCAAAGATTAGGAATTATAAAAGTAAAATAGAGAAAAGAAGTTCCTTGACAAGAACTTGGGAGCTAGGGCCACTGAATATATGCTGATTATTAAACATTCATTTGAATGATGTAAGATATTTCATATTAGGACATGATTTTCCAAACCAATCTACTGTCTGTTTTTTAGGAGGAAAAAACAGAAACATTCCCCAAATTCAGTCAAAACATTCAGTTAAGTTATAAGAAAGAGTAAGGCAGTGAAATGGAATAATGTTACTTTACAAAATGTAAAGGCACTTTCAAAGTGATTTTCTCAAACATAATATTTGAGACTTTGAAAACTTTGTGATAATGTACAACTAAGTACAACAAAGTGAATGCATTTAATGCCACTGAACTGTACACGTAAAAATGATTAGAATGGCAAATTTTATATTATGTATATTTTACTATAATTTCAAAAAACCTGTGATAGAGGTGAAATAAAAATTATTATTCCAATTTTAAGTATGTATTTCTCTAGGGTCGGTTGAGTGGGCAGAGCTGAAGTCTAAACCTCATTACCTTTCCCACACTATGTGTGCACTATGAGTAGGGCCTGACTTCAGCAATGTTACTCATCTTCCAGCAGTGAGAACTATCTTTGCTTTTCACGGGGCATGGTGGTGGGCTTGTGCAATGGGGCAGATGACGACCTGCTCTATGAGGAAAATGTATACTTTATATTCCTGTGGATGCTGGGTAAACTGGTGAGAGAGAAGTAACAAATCAGAGAAAGTAGGAGGTGGAGAGAAAGGCAAAAAAGAAAAACAATGCATTGGGGTTGCTAATCCAATCTGAAATTAGCTTCCACAAAGCCAAAATAGTTGAAAAAAGAAACTGTGTAAAAAACTTACACATGTGCTTTTTATCCAGTGTCAAAATATAATGTATTACCTCAGATCCCAGGGCTGACGCTGTCAGTTCACTGACAATGCTGGCCAGTAATCCACAGGTGTTAGAGACGAGGTGGGAGGAGAAGAGTTCATTTTCTCTCCTCAGGCTGTTCCTGACTGGTAGCACAACAATGACCAGCATTTTCTCCAGAACTTCACGGAAGCTTGTCATCCCTGAGATATTCTCTTCACTCTGCGATACATAAGAAAAAGTTCTAAGGTATTGTTTTATTTTCCTTCATAGGAGTACTCAATTTGAAAACCTTGTCTTTCTGATACTCTTAAAATTCAGACTTGAATCAGGGTCAATTTCTACAAATCTTTCTGGTTATATGTGGAGCCACTTTTCACTTAGAAGTTCTTTTTTGAATTATCTGTCTCTGCGTATCAAAGTACCATACATTTACGAAATGTTTTTATTAGCTTTGAGTCCTATTTTATTCTCTTATTTAACTTTCAATTTACAATTCTATATGACAGACAGAAAACTTCTTTCCATTTAAAAAGCTTTTTTGGCTGGGCGTGGTGTCAGCAATACCAGCACTTTGGGAGGCTGAGATGGGAGGATCACTTGAGGCCAGGAGTTTGAGACCAGCTTGGGCAACATAGTAAGACTTTGTCTCTACAAAATGTTTTTTTAAAAAGTTAGCTGGGTGTGGTGGTATGTGCCTACAGCCCCAGCTACTTGGGAGGCTGAGGTGGGAAGATCGTTTGAGTCCAGGAGGTTGAGGTTGCAGTAAACTGCGATGGCACAACTGCACTGTAGACTGGGTGACAGAATGAGCTAGTCTTAAAAAACAAAAATAAAAAGCTTTTTCTATAGGACAAGGTCTTAATCTGAGATAATAAATTCTAGTATATTTAGCTGTAATGCAACTGTAGTCTGTGTAAATCACTTTTTTAACAAAATTCTTTTTGTACACACATATGATTCCTATGTAGTTTTATAATTTCTACTGTATTTGTTTTCCTAAGTGGAGATAAGAAAATTCCAACCCCTACCGGTAGAAAAATTTCAAGAAGTCACAGAGTCTCAATAAAGGAAAAATACTTTATTTTTCAGAAAAAAGGGAAAAGATGATTAATTTAGCTGATTTCCAGCATGAAAATGATTTATGTGAATGTTTCCTATACCTATTATTTACAGTGCTTATTTTAATATACCAAAGTGTTATTAAGTAGATATTTTAAAAATCCTTTATTTTCTTATTGTTCTATCTTAGAAATCTAAAATATTATATTAGAATGTAAAGTATCTGCAACTTACCTTCAAATGGTTCAGGAAAAACAAATATGTAGGTATTCATTGTATAACTCTCAAATTTTTTTAAAGGTGTGTGATTAAACCGTTAGAGCAAAAAAACTTCATTTTATAGGTAAATATGAACATTTTTCAAAAATATTTAAAATAATCATTTTGTAAATATACTTAAAAATAGAGAAGAATAAGCACCAAGCTAAATACGCTTAGCTTGGTGTGTTTATAGTTTTATTGCCTCTGTATAAAAGAGGCAATAAATAAAACCATTTAGAGTTTTAGTGCCTCTGTATAAAAGATTTCAGAGACAGACCTACCTGGCTGAGTTTTTCCATATGTGCCACCAAAAGGGGAAAACGATGAACTAGTGTTGAGTCGTTCTCTGTACTAACTTGTTTAACAATTGATCGTAGTAATACTTCTCCATCATACGCAATCGGGAAGATGGAAGTCAGCTTAACAGACGTGTGACACAGAGCTGACATAACAGCTGCAAGGAGTCGGCTACTTGATGTCTTGAAGTTTGCTTCTTGGATATCCTTTTAAAAACAAAAATATGGCCCCCCAACCAAAAAATATAGCATCAGTATAATCTAAGTTTCTGAATACATAAAAGGTAAACCATCTTTTAAATTATACCAAAATTTTCTGTCACTCTGTCATTTAAATTGTCTTGTTATAGAATAATACTACATCTATATATTTAAAAAATTGTTTAAGTTTCTATTCAATGAAGATGAAAAATTAAGTCTGGTCAAGAAAAATCAGGCTCCTGTCCTCTAGTAAATGAGCATTTTTATATTTTCATATCCTCACAATCACAGTACTCTCTAGCACTGTTTCAAAGGGAGATGCCAAAAAGGCCCCAATTAGAATGTATCTAAGGTATTTTCAATAAGGACTGAGACTATTTTTCTCAAATAATAAATGATGCAAATTATAAATCTGTGCTATTACAAGCACATTTCACTAAGGTCACAAAATTATATTATCACATTCCATAATTTACCAAGAAAAATTAGTAGCATACTTACAAAATTTCATAAAAAAGCATTAAAGCCAACACATGATATCCTAATTCACAAAATTGTGTACACATTACCTAGTCCTTCAAACATCTGTGTTACAAAGTTAAGCATAAAAGCAGAGTAACATTCCATATGTTAAACCAACATTTGCTAAATCTAGCCTGTTCTGTAGCAAAGAAGAAAAGAACCATATCAGACTGGGAAGGTTCAGAGTGAGAGAGTAATTAAGTTGTGCACTAGTCCAGGCAATAATCTTGCCCCTGGAAATTGAGTGGTAAAACATACTACTCTGCTACATGGATGCAAAGTTGCCTGGGATGCATTAGTGATGACAATGATTTTTTTCACGAAGGAGGGCGGGGAGGCCTAGGACTTCCAGTGCACTGCTGAATATAAGTGGTGAGTGTAGATACCACGTGTCTTGTTTCCAAACTTAGGGGCATATTCAGATTTCACCAGTAAGTGGGATGTTGTTAGTGAAGATTTTTTTGTAAATATCTTTTTATCAGATTTAGGAGTTTCCTTATATCCTACTTTCCTGAGAGGTTTTCATCATTGAGTAACTGCTAGTTTCATCAACCACTGTTCCTGTAGCTATATGGAGGAAATCATCAATTTGCCTTCTTTTTTCAGTTAACATGGTAAATTACATCGATTTTCAATTATTTAACTAAGTATTTCTAAGATAAATCCCACTTGGTTATGATATATTGTTTACATGTTCAATTTGGTTTGATAATATTTTTAAGAGCATCTATGTTTCTGAGTGATATTCATCTGTAATTTTTCCTTGTAGTATCTTAGTTAGGTTTTGGTATAGGATAAAGCTAAACTCATAAAATTAGTTGGGAAGTGTTGCCTCCTGTATTTTCCAAAAGACTTTGTAAAAGGTTGACATTATTTCTTTCTTAAATGTTTAACAGAATTCATAAATGACAATATTTGGACTTGAAATTTTCTTTGTGGGAAAGTTTTTGATAATTTTTAAATGGATATGAGGCAATTCAGATTTTTCTATTTCTTAATGTGTTAGTTTTGATAAAATTATATTTTTCAAGGAATTTGTCAACTTCCTCTAAGGCTGAAAAATTCACCAGTATAAAGTTGTTTATAGTGATAGTCCCTATTTCTTTTTTTTTTTTTTTTTTTTTTTTTTTTTGAGATGGAGTATCATTCTGTCACCAGGCTGGAGTGCAGTGGCACAATCTTGCCTCAATGCAACCTTCACCTCCCGCCTTCAAGCAATTCTCGTGCCTCAGCCTCCCGAGTAGCTGAGATTACAGCTGTGCACCACCATGCCTGGCTAATTTTTGTATTTTTGGTAGAGACTGAGTTTTGCCATGTTAGGCTGGTCTCGAACTCCTGACCTCAAGTGATCCACCCACCTCAGCCTCCCAAAGTGCTGGGATTACAGGCATGAGCCACCGTGCCCGGTGAACCCCTATTTCACTTTTGATTATGGTATTTCATGTTTTTTCTTTCTCTCTTCTCTCCCAGTCAGGTTTGCTAGGAGTTTACCAACTTTTTTTCTTCAAAAAACCAACTTTTAGCTGTGTTAATTTTCTCTACTTTCTATTTCATTGATTTCTGCTCTTATCTTTATTATTTCCTTCCTTCCTTCTAACTTTGGGTTAGATTTGCTTTTCCTTCTAGATTCTTAACATAGCAGCTTAGGTCACTGATTTTAAACCTTTCTTCTTCATATAAGCATTTAAGGGTATAAAGAGCTCTTTTAAGCAATGCTTTAGCTAAATCCCACAAATTCTGATATTATGTTTTTATCTTTCTATGTGAAACATTTTAAAATTTCCTTTATAACTTCTTCTTTGATCAACTGCTTACTTAGAAGTGCTGTCATTTTCCAAATGTTTGGTGCTTTTTCTGGATATCCTTTGCTATTGATTTTTACTGTAATTCTACTGTGGTCTGAAAATATATTCTTTCACATTTTAATCTTTTGAAATTTATTAAGACATTTTATGGTCTAGCATATGATCTACCTTAGTGAATGGTCCCAAATATTTCTTTTAAAAATCATGTGTACTTGAAAAGAATATGTATTTTGCAGTTTCATATCCTGTTTTGTAAATGTCAGATCAAGATGGTTGACAGTACTGTTCAAATCTGCATCGCTGATGTTTTTGGCCTAGTTCCTCTATTAATTACTGAAAGAGGAGTGTTAAAGTCCCCAGCTGTCAATGTGAATCTATTTCTCCCTGTAGTTCTGTCAGTGTTTTGCCTCAGGTGTTGTGAAACTCTGTGACTTGGTGCATAAAGGTTTACAAAGGTTGTGGCTTCCTCATGAATGAATGAACAATGCTAGTATGACTGTTCTCTCAGCTCTCTCTCCTTCCTGTTCTCACAGATGAGGGTGGCGGGGGCCTCCTGGTGCTATCCCTGCTCTCCCCTGGTCACTATGGTTCTTTTCCTCTCTCCCTCTCTCAGAATCACTCACTCCAATTCAAAAACCAATCAGCAACTGCACAATGTGCCTACCAATTTTGTAACTAAAAGATGATGAAGCAGATTTAAAAAATTTTAAACTTTGCTTATATAAGTCATGTACACCGAATGATTTCCTAATTTATCTTTTATACAAGTTAAGAAGATATGGCAACTGCAATTTATTTTCTTGAAGAGTATTAAGCAATATATCAGATTTTCAACTAACATTTTACAAACTTAAATTACCTGATCCAAACAATTCAGCAGATCACAAAGGCAAGCCCACTGTAAGGCAGGAGTTGGGTAGAAAGAATGAAAGCAGGCAGTGAAAGTATTATGACATTCCTGAAGGACAGCTTCTAGAAGACTCAAGGGTTGACTGAGATATCCTTGAGGATCATTATCCAATTTCACCATGCAGTGATCAACTCCTTCTGATAAAATTTTTCTTAACAAAGTTCTGGTTTTTCCAATACACTCTGCTAATTTGCTAGTTTCTTCTACAACTGCTTTTCCTGTAGCTTTGAGGGGGAAAAAGCAGATTGGTAATTAAGCAAAATATTAAATATGCATGAAAACAATCAATATAATTCAGTAATTCCCTATACAGCTAAGTATCACAAGTACTAATATCTTAGAAATGAAACAACTTAGAGATTAAGTGTAGTCCCAATTTTTAATCTAAATGGAAGGGGGAATAAAAACCTAGTTTCAGCATTTAAGTCCAAATTGCTTGTTCAAAATATTTCTATTTGACAGAATTTGTTTAAAATTAAACTTTATTAGATTATTTAACTTTGGCCCACTATTACTTTTTGTATCAGAATGACATGTAATCTATTTTACTCTTTATAAGCAAATACATAAGCATCATAGCAAGCTGACTTTCTCCCCTCATTTTAGAAGCAGCTTAAATGCAGCTGGGGGGCATAAACTCTCAGTTATCTCAAAGTAAATCTTCTCAATGTCTCTAATATTTTCTCCCTATAGTCATTTAAAAAAAATGCATCATACCTGACACTGGGTAAATTTCACAGGTATAGACACGCAATAACCTCAGACAACAGGTACCCACAAAGCGCAGTCTCTCTAAATCTAGGAGTGTAGCTGTGAACTGGAATCCTTTTAATCCTCTAAGTTCTTCAACTCCTAAGACTAAGGTGGTCCAGCTCCAGTGAAGAATACTCAACAATGACTCAAAACATTCCTAATCCAGAATATGAAAAAACAGACAACAATTAATTCAAATGATACCATAAACGGAATCAAATGGAAAGGCAATGGTAGACAACTTCAAAACTTTCTTTTGAATTTTTTTACTGAGTTTTTTAATTGAATTTTTTTTACTGAGCCCAAGACACTTTTATAGTTCATTTATTAAATTACCCTCAACAGTAACTTTGAAGTTTGTTACAAAAAAGGTAAAGTAGTTAAGCATTTCTAAAAACAACATTCTTCAATATTTACCTATTTAAAAATAAATTTTTCAGTGTTCCTGCTACCCAGCTATCTAGCTTATCATATAAACAAGGGAAAAATGAGAAGCACTTATAAAACAATGCATGTTTACTTGAAAGAAAAATAAAGCTTTTTACAGTCACTGTAGTAAAAAATAAAATAGAGTTTTAGTGTTAGATATCAGTAACAGTATCAAATAACTTATTTTATGTCTATATATTAAAATTTGCAATACAAACTACAGTCAATTTTTGATAAATACATTAATAGAAGATAAAAATTGACTAGAAAATACTAAAAAATTCCTATTTTGATTATTTAAAATTCTAGCATATGAGTTTAAGATGGTAGATTTTCTTTGCAGTTCTAGTCTTCTGGTTTTATCATGGTTAAATGACAACAGATACCACCTGAATCTCAAAGCAGAGCACTTACTGCCCCATTCCCACCAAATCCCAGAGCTCCTGAAAACGAGTTTATAGATTCAATTTTTTTTTTTTTTTTTTTTTGAGATAGAGTCTTCCTCTATCACCCAGACTGGAATGCAATGGTGTGATCACGGGTCACTGCAACCTCAACCTCCTGGACTCAAGCTATCCTCTCACCACCCCCTCAGCCTCCCAAGCAGCTGGGACTACAAGTGCGCACCACCATACCCAGCTAATTTTTAAGTTTTTTTAGATGGGGGTTTCACTATATTGCCCTGGCTGGTCTTGAACTCCTGAGCTCAAGCAATCCTCCTGCCTCGGCCTCCAAAAGTGCTGGGATTATAGGCGTGAGCCAATGTGCTAAGCCCTATAGTTTACCTTTTAAAGAAATGACTGAATAAGTTTTGTATATAAAGTCTACAATTACCTAATGGCCACAAAACCACTTAAACATAAATACAAAGGGGTTACCAAGCACAGAAAAGTGAGATCACTAAAGAAAGCATAACAGAGTCAAAGATCCTTATTTGAATCAAAAGATACCAAACTCAACTTAAGACTAATAGGATGCAAAGTTACCAAGAAGCCAAAGTTCTCATAGTCTTTTATTCAAAGCACAAGCTCTACAAACTGCCATGGCTCTTTTGGAAGGTCAACTTTGAGAGGATATACCAAACTTTAAATGGGCATATTTCCAGTAGAAGTATGCACATAAGTACACAAGTATTTAAAGATGTATGTGTATAGATGCTCATGAAGCAAGATGAAATAACAAAAAATGAGAATCAAAGTGGTTCTTTGATAGATATCAGATTGAATAAATTAGAATAATGGTACGCAAACGGAGAAGACTGACAGAGCCAAATGTACTGCCAGGGAAGGATGTCCATGATATATAATACGAAATTTTCTAAAAAAGATGAAAACTGTAAGTATCGTAAGAAACAAGCAAGCATGTTGTAGAGCATCCTGTATTTGATACGTACTAATAAGTTTTTTTGCATATAAAAATGGTCTGGGAAGGCCGGGTGCGGTGGCTCACACCTGTAATCCCAGCACTTTGGGAGGCCGAGGCGGGTGGGTCATGAGGTCAGGGGTTCGAGACCAGCCTGTTCGAGGTCAGGGGTTCGAGACCACCACCAACATGGTGAAACCCCCTCTCTACTAAAAATACAAAAATTAGCTGGGCGTGGTGGCAGGCGCCTGTAATCCCAGCTACTCAGGAGGCTGAGGCAGGAGAATTGCTTGAACTCAGGACGCGGAGGTTGCAGTGAGCCAAGATCGTGCCACTGCACTCCAGCCTGGGCGACAGAGCGAGACTCTGCCTCACCAAAAAAAAAAAAAAAAAAAGGTCTGGGAAGATACACACCAAAATGTAAATAGTAGGTATATATGGTGATCATGAGAATGGGAGAAAAATCTTTCATATACTTTTAGGATACTTTTATCTCATTCCTACCAGGAATATATATTCACTTGGTGGGTTGAAAAATAAATTTAAAAGGGAAAGAAACATTCTTCCTATGCATTTTACTAATATGAAAGACTACTAGCTATATTAATAAATCACATTCAGATGGTGCCTTACAGTTCCAAAAACATCTTACACCCCTTATCTCATTAGAAATTCAAAATGCTATGATGTAATTTACTTAGGTAACATACGTAAGAATCCTCAATTAATACATGAGAGATCAAGACCTTAATTTATACTTTCATTTATTTACATCATGTTGACTTTCCATTCTGCACTGTTAACCTCAATGGCACTGTGCTTCTTCATGTGTACAATGGGGATGGCAAGTGGTTCAACAAACTTCCTAGTTAGATATGCAACTCTTCCACCTAGTTCCTCAAGTAGTAATCACGCTTTTTTGGGCCAGCACCATCCTTAACTTTTCCTTCATTTTCTAATTCATTCAGCATATGCATTCATATATGATTTACTAGAAAAGCAAATCGTTATTTGTTTCAAAAACAGCAAGGCCAATTCATCTGGTCATGTTAAAATCATAGGCCAACACCTCCATTTTTCTATGATTTAAAGTATACTTTATCTGTGGTCTAGAATATAAATGTGAATACAAAACCAAATCTGAGTTTATAAATCTAGGCTAAGATAAACTTACAAGAGCAGCTAAACTCTAAACATCAAAATGTATCTGAGGACTGAAGAGAAAAGCTGAAATTTTTTAAAACATGGCTTACCACTGAGACAGTTCTTGCAAAAGACCTCTTTAAAATGTGTACAGGTTCACTGGTTTGCTGTTTGCCTTTTGAAGCACTGCCATCACTGGTTGGAAGTCTAAAGGCAGTAGACACATATAAAATTATGTTAGAAAGTCCAATGTCATTTTTTCTTTTTAAAGTATATTATACATTTTTGAATGGGAAAATAAATTATATATTTAAATTTTTTTGCCAGGTAATGCCAATACAGGGCTTTTTTGAAACATTTTTCCAAGCTAAACAAAGTTTTTAGCATATGGGCACTTCCTTTAAATCCTACCTTCGCAAGACCGAGTAGTAGAGGCTTTTTCCTCTTCTTAGAGAACATATATAATGTATATAACATATAACTTATATTCTCTAGTAATGCTACTATTAATGCTGTTATTTAAAAGTTATTCAACCAGTGAGTACCTGGGAGTAGTCCAATGCAACACGTTATGTTTGTAGAGCTACATATTACAAACAGTAACTATAACAGATTGCACGGTGCATAAAAACCAAACAAACGAAAAAACCTTTTGGGGAAAAATAATGTTTGTAACCACAAAGTGATTACCAGAAAGAAAGATAGGGAGATAGAATCACAGTTCTAGACCATTTCCTTTGATTTTTTACTGCTTAACGAATGACAACATTTTTCAGTAACGGTTTATATCCATTTGAATTCTTTATTCTAAAAGTATTGCAGTAGTCTAGAAATAAATAAGGTAAACACAGGCATATGCCTTTATACATGCTTAAATTATTGTAAGTTAAAATTTTTCAATAATGTTAAAAATATAGTAAATATTATATGAGCAAGTTATTATTTGGTATTTTAGCTAAAGGTGAAAATTTACCAACAGTAGGGAATTTTCCAACTCATTTTATCAGTCTTATGAGACTACAATATATCAACCAGGCCTGCATCTATAGTCCTCCCCATCTTCCCTGCAATCTCACTTCTCCAAGACAAATTTTATTCTTTTACAACATTTGAAATTAGTAAGAAAATCAATGGATAGATTTTTTTTAAAGTCAGTAAAATATTGTTATTGGTATAATACAGATAATCTGAGTAATCAGGCAAAGTTTAAAGTTAAGCCTGTATGGAAAATGTTTAAAAATATACAAAATATTAACTGTTTTTGTTAAATATATTTATAGTTCTACCAGCATATTATAATTTGCTGAATGCTTCAAATAATTTCTCCCTATTATGCCACGTTTTGTAATGATTCTACTTCATTATAGCAAAATAATAAACCATACTAATTCAGTATAAATATGCTAAATACCTGTATAATAACTGAGGTATCTGACCCGCATTAACATCTGTACCATTATTTGATTTCTTTGAACTCTTGAACTGGAAAACAACCCTAAGAAGAGAAAACAATGATACCAAAAACAACATGATCATTACAGGAAATAAGAAATTTAAGAAACATGTTTTCAAATCTTATGTCAATGAAAATGATTCACTCTTTTACATAAAGAAAAGCAAAAAGGTATTTTCTAGATTTTCATTCTAGCTCTGAATGGGTTAGTCAGTAAAATGAAAGAACTGAACGTGATTAGGACTCCTAAATGAGTAGCTGTCCTGTCCCTCCTAGCTCTCCAACTCAGCTTTAACCACAGCAGTAAACTTCTAAAATTTCTACTTACAACTAAGTAGTATAATATCTGCTTGACTAGCTGCATGATAAGCTTTAGCCTCAGTGTGCCATGACATTCCAAGTCTGAATGAACTGTCTATGAAAATCATACAGTCCAGGGTCAAAGTAGTCACTTAGTTCTAAAGACATTCTTAAGTTGATGCACATAACAACAGATGTGATTTTTCTACAGTAGTCTCCTTGAATATTCAGCAACAGGAAATTCACCTCACAAATAAGTCTATTTCTTTTTTTGGTCAGCTTTGTTATGAATTGACCTGCACTGGAATATATACTGTTATATAACTTCAACTGATTTCAAATAGTTTATGCTCAGGAGTAATCAAGAATAAACTGAATTTATCTTACAAATGATAGTCCTTTAGAATACATAAATCATAGTAATAGAATATTGAAATGTTGGATTTAGAGTCAACAGGTTACAGGTCTGACCTTGGTTTTAACCACATGACTCTCAGGAAATAGCAAATAATTTCACCTTTTTATTTCTCTAGTCCCTGGAGTATAAAATGGGGCTAATAACTGCTTCACAAAGCTATTGAGGGCATCAAATCAGATAAAATATAAGAATATGAACTGAAAAGTACTCTATACGTGAAAGTTATTTTAAAACAGCAAAATTTTCCCTATATTTTATTAAAATAACACACATTGCTGAAGCTTTGAAATTTTAAACTGTTTTCTCATGCACTATCAAATTTAATATCACATATCTACTTCTTTTTTATGGTTCCAAACTCCTCATTTTCCTTGTCACCTTCCTCTATATAATTTCTAATTTGGTAATCAAGCTCGTAAACAATGTAATACCCAGAAATATATACAAATACCATCTGACAGGAGCAAAGTACAGTGGTCTTATTATCTCCTTGTTCTGTCTAGACCTCAATTTGGCATGAGGTTACATGAATTTAATTTTTAGCAGTTATATTATGCTCTAGTCTTCCTAAGCTTTTGAATCCTGCTGAAAGTACTCTGAATTTTCAAAACAATATTCCTCTAACAAAAATAAGTATTGCTTAAGTAACACTTGGGCATTTACTTACCCATCATCTGTGGTAATAGATGCCTGTCCATGAGATCCACAGTCACTGCTGGGTCCTGACACTCGGGCCCATGCCACATACCACCACCCAGCTTGCAGGAGAACAGGCTCATCAAACATCATTGCATATTTTTCTCTGAGAAAAAATTAGTGAGTCAAAAACAATATTTTCTTACTTCTCTGTCACATATATTTATTTTTTCAAAATCCCTTGTGAACAAAAACATGAAACTAACTGTATTATAAAATTCTTATCAAACAACATTAAAAACACTCTAAGAAGTCTGGACAAGAATGCAAGCAAATATAGTTATTTATGTTATGGTGATAGAATTACATTTCTTCCTCCTCTTCTTGAATTCTACAATATCCTTAAATGTTATAAAACTTTCATATTAAAATTAGAATGTTTTAAACTGATATTAAAAAACATTCAAATTTTGCTGGAAAATAAAAATCTGAACTTTAGTTTTAAAGCTCATTCATTCAGCTAAATAGTTTTGAAAGGCAGCATATTAAGAAAATGGCCCTGGAGTCAGGCAGCCTGGGTTCAAGGCCCAGCTCTGTGACCTGCTAGCAGGGCAACGCAGGGCAAGTTACTCTATCCTCTCAGTACCTTAGCTTCTTCACCTGAAAACTGTGGTGAAAATAATATCCTGCTCATAGAGTTGTCCTTTAGAATGAATTAAGTCAGATAGGTGTTTGGAGTCTGTCACATAATATCTATACAAACATTATTAATTTAGAAGAAGAAAAAAGACAATAAATAAGGGCATCTTCTAAAGGATATAAACAAGTTACAAAGTACTAGGTAACAGAGTGGAAGGAATGTTTATTGGTTGTAGCTGGAATTGAAAGAAGAATAAAGGGCATTTAAAGAAGCAGGAGAATGTCATGAAAAAATCTGTAGAGGTATGGAAGTACAAAAGAGGTCAGGAAATGACAAGGTGTTCATTATTAATTTCATTAATGCATTAAGACAGCTGTAGAAGAGTAGTGGTAGAAAGTCAAAAAAGATGCTGGATGTTATGGAAATCCTTCAATGCTCCCAATGCCTTAGGAGTCTGGGCTTTGTATATAAGCTAATGAAGAAATCCTAGACGATTCTCTATAAATGAAACTGTGCTTTATATTTTCGACTCAAACTCATATGGTCAAAAACAAATGGCAGCCAGGCACAGTGGCTCATTCCTGTAATCCCAGCACTTTCAGAGGCCAAGGCAGGAGGATCACTTGAGGTCAGGAGTTCAAGGCCAGCCTGGTCAGCATGGTAAAACCCCATCTCTACTAAAAATACAAACATTAGCCGGGCCTGGTGGCATGCGACTGTAGTCCCAACTACTCAGGAGGCTGAGGCATGAGAATCGCTTAAATCCGGGAGGCAGAGGTTGCAGTGAGTTGAGATCACACCACTGCACTCCAGCCTAGGTGATGGAGTGAGACTCTGTCTCAAAAATAAAAATTAATAAATGAATAAATAAAGAAATAAATAAATACGGCAAATGACAATGGCACCTTAAGGCTTTGCTGAAAATTAATCAATTAGCTTTCTTAAAATTTTCCCTAATATTCATTTGTATAAAACACTAAAGGTTACTAAAAAAATCTTGCGATATTAGTTAATGCCTAAGAAATAGTCAAAATTTTCTTTAGATTTACTCTTTTGTTTTCAAAAGTATTTATATCTTGTACAAGCAAAGTCAGTATCTTACGATCATCCTTGTTTCTGAAAATATACATTTTCACTAGCAAGAAAACCTACAAGGTTTTCCTAACATAGTTATTGTTGGGAAACATAGCACACTATTACTACTATGAAGCTCAGTTTATAATTTTTCTTATAATAATATTCCCTGCTTCAAACCAGGGAACACTGATCATAACACAATATTGAGATAATTCTTAGGATTACGTAGAGAGGACTGATAAAGTGTAAGTATCCTCTTACTTAATGAACCTTCATAAATAAACATACTAATTTTTATAAACTCCCAAAAGGTTTCAGTAAAGCTAGTCACCTCCCCAAGTGTGTTATTATCAAATATATTCTAGCAGCATGATGTCAGAGTACATGGGTAATCTGAATTATGGTCAAACATGACCACTTGACGCTAATTATTTATTACCTGTAATGCTAGGAGTAATAAATAACTGTATTATTACTAGAACACCAGCAAACTAGGTATTCCGTAAGAGATGCATGAAAGTAAAGGTGTATAAAATATATGCATATTTCCATTTTTATCTTCAATATTGAAACAGTTGACTTATGAAATAAATTTATGAAGTATATTAGTTTTAATTCAGCATTTTTGAAAGCAATACTTATATTGCTTAATATATAATTTAATTTCTCAAGTATTTGATATTCATAGCAGATTTAAAACTTCCTTTTAAAGTATGTTTATTCATTTATAATAAATTTTTAATATTAAGTATGCAAGAGTTACAATGAATAATGCACAAATTATTTACCTAGCAGCACAGTCATAAGCCAATACATCAGTCTCTGCAAGAAGGTCACCATCAGTTTCATGATCTCCTCCATCAGGACCCAATTCAAACAGCTAAGGAAAGGAGAAAGACAATCATTTATATAAATCAGCTATACATATCTGATGAACAATGTGTTCATAATTTTGTGCATGATGAATGTATGCTGGACCATACCAAATGTAAAAAATCAGAGTACCTGCTTTTTTAACATTACTATGTGAAATACACAAACATATGTATTTAAATTAGGAAACAAGGTTTTATGGTCTACATTAATCTCTGTTTTCCTAATTTATATATTCATCTATTTACATCAAATGCTCTAAATAGTTCTATACAAGTTTTGTACCTAATATGTGCATCTGAAAAAGGTGAGAGAACTCCAACAAAAAATTTTAACTAAGTGAGTCTCTCACTAAGTGAGATTCTACCTCATTCTAAATGAGGTAGAATGTTGCTTCATCACTTACTAACTGAGATCCTGGGACCTAGTTTCCTCATCCATAAAAGGTGGGTGGATACTAACAGTTCCCATCTCACAGTACTTTTAAAAAGTAAGTGAATACTGTAGAATTCTTAAAAAAACAAACAATAAAAAAGGGTAGAGAAATATTAGCTACAGAGAGAGAAGAGCAACATAAGAATCCTTAAAAACAATAGGTAACAAAATATAGTTCAAAGTAATATGGCATGAGAAAAAGATAGATGAAAAGCATGAAACAAATGGCTCTTAAAAAAGAGGGGAAGATCCTCTGGGTAAGAAAAAAACAGAAAAGATATCCAATACAAAAAGGTTATGAAATTAAGTGAAAATAAGAATTATGAAGAAGAGGTCTTTTTAAAAAATGTCCTTTTTTTTTTTAAGAAAACCTTTTTCCTCTGGATAATTATGGAAGGTGAATTGCAAGAGAGGCAGATAAAGATTAAAATGCATTAAAATTTACTGGACAAGTACTGTGCTAGGTGTCTAAATTTTTAAATTATATGCTAATGACTTAGAAATCTTTCTCCAGCTCAGCTCTTATTCTCAACAGTCATTGGATTCCCTTTGTCCTACTAGTTCTATACCTTCTTCCTGCCTTCTCTGTTCTGGTTAATGGTCTTTCATTCACCTAATCTCTTAGATAAAAAGTCTGAAATAGGCCAGGCCTGGTGGCTCACACCTGTAATCCTAGCACTTTGGGAGGCTGAGGCAGGCAGATCATATGAGGTCACGAGTTTGACACCAGCCTGGTCAACATGGTGAAACCCCGTCTCTACTAAAAATACAAAAATTAGCTGGGCGTGGTGGCACATGCCTGTAGTCCCAGCTACTCGGGAAGCTGAGGCAGAAGAATTGCTTGAACCCAGGAGGCAGAGGCTGCAGAGAGCCAAGATGGCATCACTGCACTCCAGTGTGGGCTACCAAAGAGACTCTTAAAAAAAAATAGTCCGAAATAATCATTTTTCCATATTTCTCTGCCATTACTGTATCTATTCTCTTACTGGTACCAAAGCTTGTCAATTCAACCATATTCCCTATTGCTGGCTGGAATATTTCAACAACTAATTAGTCTTATCTCCATTCTCTCCTTCTTCTAACCCATATTCCACAAAGTTGAGGATTTTTGTATTTGTTTCATGACCCTTAGTACCCTTATAAAAATATCTTATCAGAATACTTTCTTAATCTAAAATTATTCCTTGGTTTCTCATCTCCTCCACAGCATGATATGAAGGTTCTTAATAATTTGTCCCCAATCTGACTCCTGTATTTACATTCAACCAATATTTTTGAACACATACTGTATGCCAAGCACAGTTCTAGAAAT